>NT_187505.1:0-148850 GCF_000001405.40 Homo sapiens
GAATTCTCAAGAGATCTGCTTGTTTAAAAGTGGTAGCACTTCCCCCTTCACTCTCTCTCCTGCTATGCCATGGTAAGATGTGCTTGCTTCCCCTTTGCCTTCCTCCCTGATTGTAAGTTTTCTGAGGTTCCCCAGCCTTCCTGTACAGCCTGTAGAAGTGTGAGTCAATTAAACCTCTTTTCTTCATAAGTTACTCAGTCTCAGGTAGTTCCTTACAGCAGTGTGATAACAGACTAACATAGATTCCCTATGAGTGAGTGTTCCTAGAAAGTTAGAACATGGAAAGTGCCAGTGGAAGGCCAGATGCCTGATACTGGCAAATGTCATTTTCATTGTATTTCATTCAAAGCAATAAAGAACTTACCTATGTTTAAAAGCCCTAAAATGAGATACTTGTAAAAACAGGGTTAAACATTATTGACATTTTTTAAAAGAGGTGCATAGTTGCCAGGTTGATGAGGCCACTGGAACCCTATTATACACATACACGTACACACACAAGCACACACAAATAATAATACATAATACATACATAATACATATTATATAATACATATTATATGTAACTTTTATACATAAACCATTATATCTATACATTCTATACATTACACGTATAAAAGTTATACCTCAGAAAACACTCATAATGATGAGAATTCAGTGCATGAAAGAAAACAGTAACATTTCTAGAAGAAAAAAGAAAAAGATCTACATTCAAAACTCCCATAAAATTCTCTACAGTAGCTGTAGAATACAGAAGAAAAATTTAACACAACTACATTATAAATTAGAGAAGGTTAAGAGATAAAGAGAAGTAAGATTTTGGTATTTCAATTGATCCAGTAAAATGAATAGCAGTAGATTGTAATAACCTCCATAAATATGACTAAAAGGAAAACCTATAGAAATAAATACATACTCTCATAAACACTACAAATAAATCAAAATTAAAATTTAACAAATGTTGAAATAACCCAGAACTAGATAGGTAAATGAAATCAGAAGAAAACTATGAAACAAACAGCAACACAAACAAAAAGGCAAAAGTAAGCCCTAAAATATTAATAACTAAATGTAAATGTTCTAAATACACCAATTAAAAGTGATTAGCAAAGTCAATTTAAACACATATCCCAACTACATGCCCCTGAGAAAAGCACTTCAAATATAGGAAGGTTGAAAGTGAAATGATGAAACATATATCACGCAAATAATAAGTTTTTAAAACAGGAGTGGATACATTCATATCAGAAAAAGTAGTCTTCATAGCAAATAAAATTACCAGAGGTATTGAGGGATATTATATTAATATAAATGGGACAGTCCTTCAAAAAACATAGCTATCCTAAATGTTTATGCACCAAGCAATAGAGCTGCAAAATATGAAACAACTTGAAAGAGGGAGAGGTGGGTGGAGGGATTGATAGAGAGGTAGTGTAAACTAGCTGCTGAATATAAATATGTATATGTACATATATGTTATGTATTTTACATATTACTGATTATATCATAAATATTCAAGTACTGACAGTCTTTTTCTGGTGCCTTCGCTACAATAGTGTTTTTATTTTGTTCTGTATACTTAAATTTTATGGAAAATGAAGTGAAGCAATGTTTTTAAAGCTCTTTACTGTTAAGCTGTCACCTGATGTATAGTAGTTGCAAAATTCATGGACATTGAGAAAACCTTTTCATTAAAGGTACCAACTTCAAAAAATGATGTAAAAGAAGTGCTTTTGAGAGCTGAAAGCTGTGGCCACATGGAACAAAAGAATAAATGGTAAGAGTTCTGTGTCATGTTCATATTGAAGTTTCATGCTTTTATAGCTCAACAGATCAAATGTGATGAACCACTTGGTCCATAAAAGGTTATGGGGCTTTCACTTTCACAAAACTAAAGAATCAAATTGCTCTTCTTTTAGAAATACCCTGAGAGATTAGAGATTTGGATTTAAAAAAAAAACAACGTCCTACCTTCTGCTACCAATTGTGAGTTGTGGGCTATTAGTGTCATGGATAGAATATACTTCTTTTAAAAACACCTAAAAGTGCTATATTATGGTAACATCTTATTTTGTCATTAAAAGCTATGAGATGAAGTTCTCTTACATAAAATGTGAATGAGAATACCTGAATTTTTCCATTTTCTTTTGGTTCTGAATTTGTCAACTGAACAAGACACACTGCACCTTCCATTATTATTATTGTGAAATTAATTTTTCTTAATTGTAATAATGTATTTTAGATTTGAATTACAAAATCTAGAGACTATAGTCTCTACATGATTCTTTGTGAAACATATGACAAACATGATCAAATATGAAATATCTTTGTTAAATATCAATATTTTTCTCTTCTAATCTACTCCTCTGTTCCTCCCTCACTGCCTTATACCCTCCCGGGCCTTCTTACTGATCCTTGAACATGTCAAATTAGCTGTGTCATGGGGCTTTGCACAGGTTTTTTTCCTTTGCTTAAATGCCCCTTACCAAGAGAACCATGTGACCAAAATCTTCTTCAATCTCTTAATAAACTATCTTCTTATGGTTAAAATGTCACTCTACCTCCCAATCCTCTTTATAATTTTAACTTTCCTATTATTTCTAAACTCACTTTCCTTGTTTCATTTCCCCCAAAATACTTAGCATCCTCAGCATAATATGTAATTTATTATATCTATTTGATTATCATTTGTTGCATATTTTCCATTAGCAGGAGTTAAGTTTCATGACGACAGTGATTTTTTATGCTTTGTTCACAGATACCATCCAAATTCCTTCTATGGTTAAAGACATGTAATGGGTACTCACAATATTTTTTGAATGAATGCTGCTGTAAAATGTAATACATTTATTTGTATGTATTATAGGAAAAGGTTTCATATATGAGGGGACTTCAAAAACTTCACCAAGAAATTAAACTTAAAAATAAAAATCTAAGTATGAACTTTGTCTCTTACTATGAGCTAAGACACTTTTGTAAGCAATGACAGCAACGATTTAGTTCATCTCTAAATAAATGATGGTCCTAAGAATTTAACCATGTCAAGGTAGTCTTTTTTACATTATTAATTAAATAAAATTCACGCCCTTTACAGATGTTTTTCAAATTAGGAAAGAAACGAAGTCAGAAGAAGCCAAATCAGAACCCTAAGGGGGATGCCTAATGATTTTCCATTAAAACTCTCACAAAATTGCCCTTGTTAATGAGAGTAATGAGCAGAAGCATTGTTATGGCAGAGAGGGACTCTCTGATGAAGTTTGGCTGGGTGTTTGTGTGTTAAAGCATTGACTAACTTTCTCAAACACTCATAATAAGCAGGATTTATAGTTTTTGAACTTCCAGAGAATAAGCAAAGAGCCATGAGCATCCCAAAAAATGATGCCATGCCTTTGCTCTTGATCAGTCCACTTTTACTTTGACTGGACCACTTCCAACTCTTGATAGCCATTAGTTTATTTGTGCTTTGTCTTCAGGATAATATTGGTATAGCTATGTTTTATCTCCTGTTACAATTCTCTTAAGAAAGCCTTCAGGATCTTGATCTCACTTCTTTAAAATTTTCACTGAATGTTTTGCTCTTGTCTGCAGCTGACCCAGGAACAAGTTTTGGGATCTATTAAATGGAAAGTTGGCACAACTTTAATTTTTTAGTAGTCAGAATTGTGTAAGGTTAACCAGTTGAGATGTCTGTGGTGTTGTGCACTGTTTCTGCTGTTAATTGTTGTTCTTCTTCAATTAGGGCATGAACAAGGTATTTTATTTCTAACAAATTGATGTGGATGGTCTGACGCTGTGGGCTTCAACATTGTCTTGTCCCTTCTTAAAACAAGTTAACCACTTGCACACTGCTCATTTCTCTAGGTTATTGTCCTCCTAAACTTTTCATAAAGCATCAATGATTCATTATTTTTCTACACAACCTTCACCATAAATTTGATATTGGTTCTTCCTTCATTTGAATAGAATACATGTTACTTTTCTAGGGGCTCTTTTCAAACTGATACCTTTTTCTTCTTAATGCCTCAAACTAGATACTGTTCAAACATGTTATAAAAAGTTAGTACAAGTTTATTACTATGCAAAAGTTTTGAAATTCATGAGTATTTTTTCATAGTGTGTATTTTTTCCATTATCATTTTAAAGACCCTTCACCAAACCTCAAATCTTATTTTGCTTAACTTGCATCTGTCAAGTGTATTTTTCTATAAAATAATGTTAGTGTCTTTTCTCCATTTACTTGATTTAAATATTTTGCCACTTATCTTACCAGAAGACGATGCAAAGTAACTGAAGGCTAACATAGATTTCTTTAATGTAAGTAATATTAATATATATGACCAAGCCATTTACAATTTCTATCATGTCTACTGTAAAATATGTATGCAAATATGGTGATTTTGATTAATGTATTTATTAAAAAATCTTCAAAGGAAAGCTGTTTAACCTGTAACATGGATGAGTATTTGACAAAAAAATTAATAAGTATGCATCCTTTCAAAAACTCAGCATATGTGTTTTGAGTATGTAAAGAATGCCAAGTATTGGACGACGTTATGAGAATATATAAGAATACAAGACAATCAAGATGGCTGCTTTTAGGAAACTTATATTTGGAGGGATTAAAATAATCAACATTTAGGAATAAATGGAAGTTTCATTACAATTAAATATAAAATAAATAAATAATCACTAGTTATAAAAGTCATTTTTTAAACTAGAAAATAGCTAACATTTTATTTACACATACCCAAGGAAAAATGCTATTAATAGATACATTTCTGAAGAATAATATATATGTAAATGCACATTTTATCAGAAAGTGGCACAATATTTTAGATCTTTACAAATAGTCCAGTGGTTGTTCAATCATTCAGTTTAATATTTGTTCATCCATGGAGGGTTATTCCAGTACCAATTATTCTATCATGGCAATAAGTAGAAGTCTCCATGCTTCTTAAAATATAACAAAGTTTTATGTGATATTGCCTTTGTAAAATGAATACTTTCACTAGTTTTAAAACAACTGAGTAGATATGAGGAAACCATGTGATTCTGAAATACTAAAGTCACATAAAATAGATATTGTTTTCTAGGAAAGTCATCTGACAAAGGACGGATTCCTAGTAATAGAAACCATTTGAGAAATTGTTGAAATTAGACAAGCAATGATTAGGACATGAAATGGAACAGTAGTTGTAGGAATGAAAATAGAATGTTTAATATTGTAATATGAAAATGTTATATAATTTTTTATTTCCAGTATATTTAAGCATTTCCAAATATACGAAACTACGGTGATTCTGAGATGCCTAAAGCAGGAACTGTGTTGTCATAAGCCTATTTATTTTAATATAGACCGTTGAATTTTTAAACCCAACACATCATAGTGACAGTTCTAAAATGCCCTTGGGCTTCAAAACTGTTAAAAATGTTTCCCCTGTCCTGATTCTATTTCATGAATCTATATATTGCAGTTTCTTTTTACAGCCTAATTAGAGAATTAAGATTTACAAAGGCCCGGAAGTCAAATCAATGCAAAGAGAACACTGTAATTTGTTTCCCTGGGTCATATGAGTGAGTTGTGATCAAGAGTCAAAAAATTATGGTTGAAACTGTTGCCAGTGAGAGATTAACACCCAGAGGATGAAACTTTAGATAAGACACTATACTAAAGTAAGCAAGCAAGCAGGTTATTGAACAGTACATAATTAAGGTTGGAGACTACAGGTATTGACAAATGAGAACATAGGCCAAGTAGTTTCCTAGAAATTACAGATTAAGGCTCATGACATTTATTTTTCTCCAGATAATATTATGATGCTTAATTTGTAGGAGGCATGCAATGTGTTGTTGCTGACTATAAAATTAATGCTCTTCCCTCTTCTGCAAAAATCCAAAACGTTCAATGAGGTATGAGAGTCATATTATTTAAAAGTTCCACATTTTCCTAACAGATTTTTCACTCACCAAATACTCATGTAACAAGTATTAAGTCAGGTGGATTATATTTGGGATCACTCAAAACTTGTTCCTATCACTGCCTCACACCCATTCTTACGTATGTGTACTATAAATGATGGTGTCTGGATAATGATTACTGACCCATATGCAGCTCCCAAACCACAGCAAACTTTGGAAATTCCACTACAAGGTCCAGATGCTGTATACTGTATATGTAAACTGTTTCAGGAAGGAAGATTGCATATTAATAACATAGTCTATGTGGGTTATCTCTGCAGGCTAGTGAACATTTTGCAGAAGTAGTTCTTGGGGAAAGCAAATTGTATGCAGACAACTAGAGTGTTCCAAGTTTATTTCAACCTACGGCTACATTACATGTTTAGTCTTATCATAATTAGTATTTTTGATTCAATTATTAAAATCTCTCCATTTTTATAAATTACTTATTTTATTAATATCTTTCAAAGATAAAAATAAATCTGAAGTATCAAGCTGTGTATTCTAGATACTGCAGAATATTATGTCATTTTTATGTGCTCAAACTGAACTTCCTTCTGATTGTATAGAGTACAGAATAGCAATTGACATTTTTTGGAAAAGTGTAAAAATCAAAACGTTGGTAAATGAAGACCACCACCAACCAAAATTTATATCTAGTAGTAGATATATACAACTTAAAAAAATACTAGCATTTATTAAGTTTTACTGCTTATTATAGTTATTAATTCAATTTAACTATTTACCAATCATGTGTTTTCTAGGCACCTCCTATGAACCAGGATCTGTACTTGGTGTCCCAGTTATAAAGTAAAACAGCCTGTCCTTCCTGCACTCAAGGAGACAGCTCCATAAGCAGGGAGCTTGTTAAAAATGCAGAATTTGGGGAACTATTCACACGGATTTTTACTAAGTTACATTGAAAAAAGCCTGGGACTAGCTACGATCTCCTCTCTGGTGATTTGGATGTGATAGTCTCTTAAGCATATTTTGAAATATACTCGCCCAAAGAATGGAGAAAGACCCAGCCGGCCCTCCTCATGTGGCTGCTGAGGGAGCTATATGTATAATTAAAAAACTGCCGAAAACAAAGTCTCCTGTTCTGTTTTTTTTTCATTTACTTTTTTCTACCACTTCAGTTCACATCTTATTTTCTTCCATTTAATAGTTTTCTGCTGCTAGCCAAGGAAACAGGAAATTTGAATGCTCCATTCCACACCAAATGAATCAGGACCTCCAGGTGAAAAAAAAAAAAAGTGGAGATCTGCTTTTTCTTCTTTTTCTTTCTTCTTTTCATTAATCTCTATTTGGAGAAACACTGGTCTTGGAAATGAATTGACAAATAACATGACCTTAGACAAATCAATTAAGTTTCTTGACCCCTGACTCTTTTTTCATCTGTATAATGCTATTTTTACTAAGGATTTATTAATGTTCTTCCAGCTCTGATATTTTCTTATTGATTCTAATTACATTTCAGATTTATTCATTTTCTTTTTGATACAAATTCCTTTGATGGGAATCTCTTTAAACAAAAGCTTTGAGATTTTAAAAAATTGTAATCTTTGATAACTTCTACATTTATAATCCTCATTTTAAATTTTCTCTTGTTTACCACTAGTTAATCTTCAAGTCTTGAAGACAGCTCAGATTGGAAAATATATGAAAACCCATGAAAGCCCAGTTCTTGTTTCTTTCCTATTTGCATTTGCTTTTTATAGAAATCTGGAAAAATTAACAAATTTTAAAATGGTTTGTAATAATTATTTCATTTATCTTATCTAGGGTTTCTAATTGCTTTTCATTCATTGGAGATGACAGTTCCAAATATATTCACCTTTTTAAATGAAGAGGATAGAATTTTAATCGGAAGAATGAGAAAATAAAAGTGCTATGATTAGAAAAACTTGAGGATTATTCTAACCAGCAAGAAAAGATCTTAAAAACTTCAGAGGAATTGCAGAATTAAAAAAAATATATGTGGCACGAACTCGATTGGATAGATAAATACAGGTAATAGATATCTTTGAGGTAAAATAGGACCTCAATTTAAATAGATTAATGTAAGAATTTAAAAAATGCTGATGTAATATATCAATATTACATCAATATATCATAATTATACATCAATAATACATCAATATATCAATATTACAATAATCCTTTCTGGGCTGAAGGAAATAGAAATAAATAGGAGCAAGCCACAGTGGAAAAAACATACAATCTGTTTCACTAGGTGAGAGGGTTGTCCTGAAAACATCTGACATCTGGAATGCCCTTGTCTCCACGTATGCAAAGTCCTCCAAATATCCTAAGGTTAATATAATGCCATCAAGTAAATGGACTTTGTTTATATACACGGGAACTTTTTAAGAAATCAAAACAGATTAAAATTCTTGAAAGCAGTATGATTGATCAATAACTAAATCTATCCATAACTGACAATTTGCACAACCTGGGCAACAAGCATTTTCCAGGAATAAATTGCTATTCATCCATAGTGTGTAAATGACTCTTCCAAAATGATTTTAAGCGATATCACCATCTTATTTTTTTCTTCCTGTTCCATCTTCCACTGTCTCAAACTCTCTTTACTTCGTTCCTCAGTAACAGCTTTCATCTGCTTTATTTCCTTTAAATATGTGATAATCTCTGCTCATTGACTCTATTTTCCTAAGATACGGTTGTTCTAATTGATTTTACCTCAGCTAACATCAGGAGCATTGTAAAAATTAATAACAATCTTACACAAGAATCTTTCTTAATACTATGAAATATAATCAGGTTTAACATTTTTATAAATGTCTTTGTTTAGAGTAAAACAGGTGATGACATGGCTTTATCATCAAGGGGTTCACCTCAATGCTAACCTAAAAAGAGAGGAAATTAGTTCTGATATAGGATCCAAACACAATTAAACATTTTAACTCATCATATAACAATCTCTTTGTCTCAATCAACTGCTAATCTTCTGTTATACAATGAATTTCCTTCTTTCAATTATTGTCTAAGAAGCATTCTATTTTTGGCATAAAATATTGATTTCCATAAACAAAAATTCATGAAGGTACAGCGTAAGTGTGAAGACTTTAGATTTATATATGATTTCTGAGCATGGGCTATTAATTTTGGTTGACTTTGAGAGAACATTTGAATTGATTAGTATTAACTATTTTTAAATCAGTAGAGATAGAGTTATCATATACATATAGATGTGTATATGCATATGTATGTATGTATTTTTCTTCTTTTTTAAATAATAGGAGTAATGGGACAAGATAAACTCGTGTAGACTAAAGAAACTTGTATAGACTAAAGAAAATAAGTTGGTACATTTGAATTGTAGTATACAAAGGTAGAACCTATTATAAATGTATGTATGTATTAAGTATGATGAGTAATAACTATGTCTCTGAAAATCCTTCCTGGAAAATTGTTTTCTCCTAAATATGCTGCTGCAGTTAACTTGTATTTTCCTATTAAAACACTATTGCAATATGCTATGTTGCTTGCTTGCTTGAGTACACGTTACTTGAGTTAAACTTTGTGACAGCAGGGAGGGACCACACCTCTCTTTTTCTCATTTTTTTCTCCAACACCTTTTCTAATATATGAACAGAGTTTTGGCCTCATAAATACCCATTGCAATAAATGGGAGGCATATTTTAGGCCCTGGTCATTCCTGCAAAGTCATGCTCAACCTCAACGCCAGTAATCTGGTATGTTATTTTTTGTTATCTTTTTTTCTAACAGTGGAATAAGTATTGCAGTGATTTTATTTTATTGTATCCTATGTTATGGACCTTGACACTTCCATTGGATACCTTAACACCATCTGTTCTATGCATCACTGCAGAGAAAGGTTGATGAAAGATTGATACCTGTCATCTTAGGAAGTCATTTGTGCACTAGTTAAAGCAATTATAAGTGGGATGATAGTCTCTGAAAAATGTCCATTTTCCTTTTGTAAAGTAATTCTGTTGTTTATGTCATGTCTCCATTGATGAGCCCACTGTCTCTCAAACTATTCACTTGCCTCTTTCTAATTTTATAATCTCCACACCTTTGGAATTTGCCAACACAACAGAGCATTAGATGATTTTCTTGGACTTCATGCTTGATCTGCTTCAATCTATACTATTTGTTATAAACCCTCATGACTGACAGATCAGACCTATCATCTTGGATCCTCTGTAGTAGCATATTTTGTCTTTGAAAGATTATAACTTAAAATGGCTGAGAATACTTTGTCAACTTAAAAATGTATCTGTAATATTTACAAGTATATCATTTTTGTCTTAAGTACTACAAAATAAAGTTAACTATTTTTAACTAGTTGCATTAAAAAGTGAAAACTGTTTTTCATTTCTAAATATGCTATTCTCTTCTAAGTAAAATAGGATAAAGTACTTTTTATTGAAAATCAAAATTATAAATCTGTTATCTTCAAACTTACTATGTACTTGTGAGGTTTTTTATGTTAGGGAGTGCTTGAGTATAATGGGAGATCAATATAAAACCTCATTTAGGAAACATTTTTGCATCTAAAATCATGCCTAATAGAAAGCTCAGGCAGTAGAAGTGGTGAGCATTCCTGATAAAATTCTTCTTTATGAGCAAAAAAAATTCAAGACAAATGTGTTATGAATCTGATTTTTTTCATATTTATACCAAAACAAAGAATGTTACATAATGAAGTCATGGGTGGTTTTTACTGAGAGTGTTAAATTGTGGAGAACTAGTTATTTTCTCATAAGGCTTTTTGTCTGTGATTACTGTTCAGTTACAATTGAAGTCCTTAAAGGCAGCGGAAACATCCATATCCACCATATCAGTCACGTTCCAAGTAGCTGACTGTTGAATACTTGGGGCATTAAGTAAGAGGCATCAGCCAAGAATGTTGAGAAAATTAAAGGGTTGTTAGAATAGAAAGAAAAAAGTTGAAAAAAATATGGTGAGAAGTGCTGTACAGTACCATCCTTTAACTTTGACAGAAAAGTTGATTTCATCGAGAGTAGAAGAGCGGTTACAGTGTCATTTTTAACGTAAGTTGAATATGTACTTAATTTTTAGTAGGAATGGGATATCCTCTGAATTTGTAGATAAAGTTATTTTTATTTAATCAGTTTCTACAGCATTTCACCTTTCTTATGATCCACTTTATTATGACTATCTATAAATGTTTATCATTTATTATCTTTATATCTTCTTTTAAATTTTCTTATATGGATCTCTTGGAGTGAAGCGACCAGATGGTAGCCACTTTTTATGAGTAGCTGTGACGTGGGAGTGCTGGGAAGGGAAGGTCATGGTCCCTTTAAATGATGCAGAAGTGGGGAAGGGAAGTGCTGGGTAAAGGAGGGCATGGTCCCTGGCTAGGGCATCACCTGCCTTCTGCCCAAATGTTGCATTTCCTAAGACCACCCTCGGCCACTATGCCCCATCCTGTGTCTGTAAAAATCCCTGAGACCCTAGCAGGCAGACACACAAGCAGCTATACGTAAAGAGGATGTCAAGAGGAGCACGCAGGTGGAAGATACCAGCAGGTCAGCAGGCCATCGGCCAGCAGAATGATGCAAAATTTGGCCAGAGCAGTTGGAGAAGCTCCACAGCCCCACATCAGGGAAAAACCGTCTCCCTTCTGGCTACCTCATCTGCTGAGAGAGACTGCCACTAAATAAAACCTTGTACTAATTCTCCAAGCTCAGGTGTGAGCCAATTCTTCCAGTACATCAAGGCAAGAACCTGGGGTACAGAAAGCCCTCTGTCCTTGCAACATGGTAGGGGGTGTAACTGAGGTGGTTAACACAAGCCCATAGATGGCAAAACTAAAAGAGCACCCTATATCACTCACCCACTGGGGCTTCAGGAGCTGTAAACATTCACCCCCGGACACTGCCGTGGGGTCGGAGCCCCACAGCCTGCCCATCTGTATCCTCCCTGAGAGGTCTGAGCAGCAGGGCACTGAAGAAGCAAGCCACTTCCCCTGTCACATGCCCTGCAAGGTGGACAAGGAAACCTTTCCCCTTTCAGGTGCTATCACATTACCTGTATAAGTAGTCATTCCATAAATATTTCTTGAACTAAATTTAATAGATTTATTACAGACATTAATTGGAATAAAAAAATGCCTCAAAAGTATGATCATTTCTTTTCATCTTTTATCTGGGACATAACCAAAATTTAGAAGTTTAATATTAAAAAGATGATTCTCACACAAACCTAGGATAAACATATTTTAAGACTATATAGAACTCATTAACGAAGGAACCGAAAAGAAGGTAAAACTGGTTTAAAATACATTTTGTGGAACTGGCATATAATGTGGGAAAAAATGTTAAAATAAGACTGCTAGATAAAATACAGCACTTGTTAATGGCCTATAAAACAATATATTAATCTTTCATGTTTTCTTTTCTACAAAGAGACATCTACAAATTGGCATGTAAATTCATACAGTGAAAGTTACATATATATAATTGTTTTGTTGGTGTGTTTGAAAGCCAATGTTCATGCTTTAACATTCAAGTTTCAATGTTCAATGTTCAGCATTGAAAGTTCCTTCCACACTGTTTTTTTTTTTTGATGTTTTTAATGATTTTCTTAAACAGAATCAATAAACTCTTAAATAAGGCCTAATAAATATATCTGCTTTTTCCCCAACTGTTTATATGGAAGAAATCTTAACTCCTTTATCCAAAAGAAAACAACTGCTATCATGTTTGTCTCTCTAGGCTGTGAATGGTATACTTGACTCCCAAAATCTAAGGGCCAACCATAAACTGCAACCAGAATGTAAGAAGACTTAATGAATTCATTTTCCCAAGAATTTTGCAGAAGAGTCTCGGTAGAGGAATAATAAGAAATTAGTCACTGCAATATACAGACATTGGTGAATAAAGAGTAATAGATTAGACCTATATAAGGAGTCTGGAGAACAAAAACAAAAATGTCTTTACCAGAGCCTTGGGGTGGTGGGAGGGGAGAGGGACACAAGGAGAAGCATATGAATACACAGCCATACTTGGACTGTTTAAATCTCATTCCAGTAGAATTGAATGACTGATTTGCAAGAACATTGCTAAAAATCAAAAGTATAGGCTGCTCCAAAGTACCCTCTGAATATCTAAAAGATGCTGTGTAAATCACGCCCTCCAACATGACTGTATTCATAAATATGTTTACATGCATATGCACAGGCAAAGACATGTCGTCTTATTTGTTAATTACTTCAAGGCGTTAGGTGTTGGGTTCACTAAATTTTAAAACTTGATATTTTTATATATTACTGAATCTAAAAGCAAAAAATATGAAAAAGCAAAATCAAATATTTTATAATATAAAGTGAAAAAAGGGCATTATATCAAATTTGATGTATTGTGATACTAACATGGCACATCTAGTTTAGTCAGATGTCCTGTTAGGCTTCATTGCCTACATGCTACCATAATTAGATGTGACAGTTTAGAACATTTTATGTGTTAAAAGACATAAATAGAAGTAAATTCTTTACAATATCAGGCAGGGAATTCTAAGTCAATTGGTCTGGGCTATCAAACACAAGTGAAAAAATTTCTAAGTGCACTAGAAAAAGGAAAAGCTTAGCTTCGAAAGTTGTGCTAGTGGGGTACTTTAATTATGCTATCAAATCATATTTGAAAGACGACTGATTATTTCAATGCTGAAACACATGCACACAAGGGCAAAAGATGATTTTTAAATACAGCAGGCTTCTCTAATTCCTGTTACACTAACTGACTTAAAATGGCAAATGCAGATTTCATTGTGATGTTGATACTCTCTTCCTTTCCCCGAGGCTTCCTTTGCAACTTTTCTTGCTTGTAAATTTTCATCCTATAGCGTTAAGTAAGCATTTAGAGGATTTCACCTGGCATAATTCATTCTTACAGTCAGACTCAGTTATGTGTGCAACAATGGCCTATCTATTCTGACATTATCGGAAATGAAGAAATGATTTTTTTTCTTTCAGCAGAGGATAAGCCTCATAAAATCTTTGTTTCAAACACCTTAAGAGTCCCTGTACATTTCCTAGCTACTTTTAGCTTAAAGTCTTGCACTGTTTGGTGACGTGTTCAGAGTAAAAAGTATTTTAGGTCCTACAGATTCAAATCAAAAATTGCTATAAGTCATAGGCAAAAATTAGTGTTTAGATCATCTGTTAGAATATCTGCCAATGACAAGGTTATTTCAATATCTAGATTGATTTTATATGTTGAAAATAAAATGCTACAACCCCTTTCTCTGCAGGGCAAATTTAAAAATAAATTTAACCTGTTTATGGGGCATTAATTTAAAAACCAGTTACTTGTTTTACAAATGAGATGTGGAAGAACTACAGAATGTTAGAATTTAAGTTTTTTTCTTAAAGTATTGAGTCTACTACATCATTTTATTTGTGTATTTTATATTGGGATGAATATACATTTAAACAGGAACAAGTAATTTTTCTAAAACATAAATTGAAAAGATAGAAGTGATAATCTCCAATAGGTAGACATAATTTGAGCACACTGATATCACAAGTTTTAATACCTAGCCTTGTAATTTCTAAAGAATATATTATTAAATGAAAGAAAATTATTATTTAAAAAATAGAGTAAACTTTGCTCCCCTAGACTGACTTCCGATGTCCTTGATTTTTTTATACTTCCGATTTTAGATAATTTCATCTTCTTCTTTTCTGTTCACAATGTCTTATGCTTCTATGTTGCTAGCCATATTTCATCTGTTAATATGTATCTAAAGATATCCAGTGTCCTTTAGATTACATCATTTTCATTGATAACATCCTAATTCCCAGCCCCAAGTTCTTCCTTCAGACAATATTGGGTCTAATTTTAAGAATTTGAGGGAGTAGAAGAACCAGAAAAAGACTTCGTGTTCAGGACAAGGGATACATGTTGTAGTGACACGGTTGAGAGTATCAGAAAGTGTATAGAACTAAATTGGCCCCACAATAGTGGAGGGCCCTAATGTTTAACAGCAATGACCCCTACATAGTAGAATTTCAGGAGACAATTTTATTTTCAGATTAATTGATTTGTTGGCTTGCTTTTATTGGATAATTTTACTATTCTGGACTTGTATTACCTATAAAATATTGGCAAATTCATTTTTAAAAAAGACACTAAGAGATGACTGGGATTCCATATGATATTTGGAGTAGCAGAAAAATCCCCAATTAAACAATGACTACAAACTGTTGGAAGCAAATCTAATGAAGTTCATTGTATCTACCTGGAATATATGGATTTGGGAAGAAAAGCTTAATCGAGCCATATAGACCTAAAATAAACAAAAATAAAGGCATTTGCAACTTTTCCTTCGGGAAGTTTTTTCTACTACTTTTTCATGTGTCCCCAGCTTCAGCTCATTACTTGCCACTCTAGTTTTCTCTTTTTTCATTATTCAAACTTAGTCAATCACATGTTTCTGTCTGATCAACTATTTATTGATCTCCTAAAGAAGACATTCTTCCTACATTAGAACCATGTTCTACTGTTTTCATCCTAGATTGACAGTACCTCCCACTTATTTTCATGTTCTAGGCAATGGGTAGCTTTGTTCTGCAGCTAAAATATTCTATGACACTATGATCGAAAGTGCCATGAACAAAAGTGAATGGACTTTTAATGATGAGAATGTGGGGTTCACTAGGAGTGCTGCATTCTATATGTAAAATGCAAGTTTTGGAGTCAAGATTGGAATACAGATTTTAACACGTTACAATCTACCGTTACAAGTAAAAGTAATCTGCCATTGCTTTTAGTGGCAAAACCGCAATTGCTTTTGCACCATGCTAATACTTTCCATACGTGATCTTAAATAGGAAGATATAACTAGAGACTTAATTATATTTAAAATGGAGATAAATAATATGAATGATAAAGTTGTATTATTTTATCTAATGAGATAATATGTAAAAGTTTTTAGCAGAGTGTTTGAAATATAGTAAATTTTCAATAAACATTCTCATTACTAGTTAGTATTTTATACTGTAGGTATATATTTTTGGAAAGAGTATGCAATAAATGTTTAGCAATTCTTTTCGCCAGTTTTCTTTGATGGAATAATGTTTTCAAGTTTGAATCAACGAGGTTTAGGTGCACCTAGTAAATCTGTAAATTCTAGAATTTGTCCATGACCCAGTTCTGACCAGGGGATTCCAACTGGATGGTTGTAATTGATTTGTCCAGATATGAACATGTGACCCAATCTAGACATAAAATTAAATCTTAGCTGTTCCCTAGATAAGAGAAATAAAATTCTGACCACATCATTTTATTTCCTGACTCTAAAATTAACTATAATTCTAGACTTTTTAGTTATACACAATTGTGTTTGAGAGCTATCTCATATCAACTTGTGAGATCCAACTATTAAATTTTTAGAAATTTTTTGAGGTCATTTTTAGACACAGAAATTATTAAAATAAACATGTTAATTTATAATTAAATTATATTAAAAATAAGGAAAATAAATTACTTAAATTCATCACTTCCTAAGTATTTTGCTATATTTTGCTGTGATTTATGCTACCAAAAATACTTACATAGATGACGTTTGTATCATGGCAACATTATATAATGGCAAGCTAATGTGCATCTCTCCAGCTCCCTATTAGTGGCCTTAGGTTGTACCTTGTAATTCCGTCATGAAGAGAATATTTACAGCATGAAAATTAACACCGCATATCAGGGTTAGATTTAATATTTTGATTGTGTAGAATTAATAAAAGTAATTAATAAAAGTAAAAATGAAGAATGAATAAAAGTATTCTAATAATGCAAATTATTTTTTAAATTGTGTCTGTAACCATTACATTGCGAACAGCCCCAACATACAAGGACATATCCTTGTATTAAATATTCATGATTCTCAGAAAAGTGATTCTATCATTGGTGAACAAGTAAAGGTTTTAATTAATTTTACTTCTATCTTACCACTAATGTACATAAAAATAGTAACCAATATTCATATTGAAACTCTATTCATTTGCTGATTGCAGTCAGTTATCTATGGATTTAAGAGTTTGGCAAAAATTAACAAAAACTCCCCCTGAAAAGGGAACTAATATTTTATTACTTGTGTGTTATATGCTCTGCGTCTTTATATTAGTAAAACATTTAAAAAGTTGCATATAAAACTTTTTTGAGAGATAATTCTTTTTTTTTTTTTTTTTTCTGAGATGGAGTCTCGCTCTGTCGCCCAGGCTGGAGTGCAGTGGCGCAGTCTCGGCTCATTGCAAGCTCCGCCTCCCGTGTTCACGCCATTCTCCTGCCCCAGCCTCCTGAGTAGCCGGGATTGCAGGCACCCGCCACCATGCCCGACTAATTTTTTGTGTGTGTTTTTAGTAGAGATGGGGTTTCACCGTGTTAGCCAGGATGGTCTCGATCTCCTGACCTCGTTATCCACCCGCCTCAGCCTCCCAAAGTGCTGGGATTACAGGTGTGAGCCACGGCGCCCGGTGGAGAGATGATTCTCAAATATTTACTTGCTCACACTGGTTATAAGCTAATTATTAAGAGAGTTAAGTAGTATTTTTACCATATGTTCCTGAGTCAGTTGTACTTGTTAAAGGAGTGTTGCAAGTAATAAACCTTAGCATGCACAATTAGATTTATTAATTGAGATGAGATATGTAGCAGAAAAGTGTTTAATTTCCAAGTAGGAAGTGGATAATACCTGTTGAATGATATACATTAAATATTAAAGAGTTAACTGCTAAAGCTCAGATATCAGATCATCTGCCTATCCATAAAGATATTTTAATGTGTCTTTTTATAAAATGCCAGACTATTTGTAAAAGAAAAAAATCAATATGCTTGCCAAGAGAAGTTGTATCAAATAAAGACAAATGTGTTTATTATAGGATCAAGAAAGCTGAATTCTCCATTTTAAATGGAAAATTGTATGAGGAAATTCAAAGAGGAGTGAGATATAGCAGAAAACAAAATTGGCATCTGGGGAAATCTTATATTAATGCTCCTTACTAGTTCTTTCTGGAAACTTTATAACCATGCCTGACAAAGTGACAGTTACTCAAACTTTAAAGAGCCAGCTTCTGTGACCAGCATGGGGTGCATGGGAAAAGATTATTTATATCTCTCTTTCTGGCCTAATACTTCACACATTGCTCTTGGACAGAGAAGAATGAAGATCATTTAAATGACGTCTAGCAACATGCACTGAGTTTTAACTTCTTTTATGAAGAGACGGAAACCTCCAGATTGTGGTTTTGATTCAGGAACCATAGCTCAATAAAATATCTACCCCTTTTGTTATTAATTTATGATGCACATCGAAATAAATTGACTAGAAGAAAGTAAATTTTTAGGTGTTGATTTTTTTTTTTCTTTTTGAGACGGAGTCTCACTCTATCACCCAGGCTGGAGTGCAGTGGCACAATCTTGGCTCACTGCAAGCTCCACCTCCCAAGTTCATGCCATTCTCCTGCCTCAGCCTCCTGAGTAGCTGGGACTACAGGTGCCCACCACCAAGCCCGGCTAATTTGTTGTATTTTTTTAGTAGAAACGAGGTTTCACTGTGTTAGCCAGGATGGTCTTAATCTCTTGACCTTATGATCCACCTGCCTCAGCCTCCCAAAATGCAGGGATTACAGGTGTGAGCCACCGCGCCCGGCCCCTAAAATGGCTTTTAAGTATTTTCTTGAATGAAAACACCAGATATATTCAACAGCAATACTAACATTAAAAAGACTTGGCAGCTGGGCGCAGTGGCATACACCTGTAATCCCAGCGCTTTGGGAGGCTGAGGCAGATGGATTCATTGAGGTCAGGAGTTCAAGACTAGCCTGACCAACATAGTGAAACACCATCTCTACTAAAAATACAAAATTAGCTGGGCATGATGGCGGTTGCCTGTAATCCCAGCTACTCAGGAGGCTGAGGCTGGAGAATTGCTTGAACCCAGGAGGTGGACGTTACAGTGAGCCGAGATCACGCCACTGCACTCAAGTCTGGGTGACAGATTCCGTCTCAAAAAACAAAACACAACAAAACAAAAAGACTTGGCAAACAAACCATTGTCATTCTTTGGATAACAATTTTTTAACCATTTCCAATTTAAGGTCCAAGTGTCCAGACCCCCACGTCTGTAAGAGATCACTGCTAGTCACAAACGTTCAGGAAAACAATAATCCTAGCTTGTACTTCCCAATAATTAATTAGAAGTGTCTCTTCTGCAATTTGATTGAATCATCTCCAAGGAAAAACACTGCTGTAAAACATAAATATATATATATATCATTATGTATATATGGGTACAATTTTAAATACATTTCATTACGTTGATGTACTCTCAAAAATAAAAAACATGCAAACTAAACTCCTGTTGCTTAGACAATACTATAGATACATGTAGTCAATAACTTTTCTCCTGAACTGTTATCTCAATGAAACAGACTGATCTTTAACCAAAAGAAATGTGAAGATAATCAGTATGGGATTACATTTCCTTTATAATGGCTTTAATCAAGTGTAACTATATTACTGAGTATAACTACAATTGCATTAAATTGCAATTTACTTAAGAATATTCAAGAATCCTTAAATTTTCAAAATATAAATAAAACCAAACAATATTAAAACTGATTTTCAACAGAAAATGTTTTTACCTTGTATTAAAATTATTAGACACACTACAATTACCCAACTTAAATCTGTTCCAGTTATTTTTCTGAATCCAGAAGCTAGTAACATATAATATCTCTGTAACATCTTTACAAGATAGTTTTATATATGACATATTTACAATCACTTAAATGTCGTTTTTGCTACCAATTGACTTGCGAAAATTCATACAATATCCTCATTTTTCAAGTAATAAGCTATTTTATGTAGTTAACATTGAGATTGCTCCAACAATCCATTTTCCTCAAACTGTATTTTCTTCCTCTGAAATCCAAATTAATCATAGATGGTAATAGCTTTTGTGGAAGTAGAACTAAGGAGGAGATTTAATGAGTGATTAGTGGACAATTATCTTAGTTCTTTTTACAAAATTAGAAGACTTTTTAAAACAAATTCACAATCTTTTTTATATTTGAATATCTTATCCACAGCTTGGATATGAAAACTTGTATTTTTTATGTTTATACACTCTAGTTTTGAGTTACTTTGTACCATCATCTATTATGGACAAAAAATAAAAATGCTTATAGAGCACAGAATTTCACAAAGTATGAAACATAATCCTTACCCCTTCACCCTTTCTGAAAAAGATTATAATAGAAAGAATGATTATAAAAAATGCATATGTAGCATAAGAACTATTTTCAAATCCTGATTCTATTGCTGATAATAAGGATATGGCATCTCTTTAAAAAGAAGATAACTGTGGCTTTTTTAAAATATAGCCACGAATACTTTGAATGTCCTCACATCAAAGGGTAGACATCATGTTTCTTCCCCCTGAAGTCAGACAGGCTGTGATTGCTTAAACCAACTCAGCATTAAAGTAATTCTATGTGACTTCTGAGGCAAGATTATTAAAGGCAATACATTGACCCATTAACTGCAACACTCAGGCAAGCTACCTGTATGATTCCATGTTGTGAGGAAGCTCAAGTTACATGAAGCAGCAATATTCAGACACTCTGGTTAAGAGATTATTTTGAGCGCAGCCTTTAAGTCATACCAATGCAGGAGCCAAACGTAAAGAAGCTTTCAGAAAACTTCATTGTCCAACGTTTAATTCATTCCTAGATATCTAGGAATTCTCAGAGGCCCCAATTACTGTAGACCACAGAGATGTCACCCCACTTTGCATTTTTGACCCCCTGACCCCAGAATATATGAGGATGACAAAATGGTTATTGCATCACACCACTGAATTTGAGTAGTTTGTTTTGCAGAAGTAACTAGCAGAAGCAATCACAAATAGAATGTTTTCTTTCTCCACAATTTGGAACACCATCACAAAAAGGAAAGAAGAGAAAACGTGGCATAGCATAAACCTGAGTCTTCCATTTGATAGCTGTAAATTTTGGTAATTGGTATTTAAATCTTGGATGATATTCTCATATTCTGGGCATTTATGAAAGGTTAAATTAGATAGTGTAATTAAAGTATCAGACACAATTGTGCTTTCAACAAAAAAATGCATAGTTATTTTATTCCTCCCCTTATTATTAAATAAATTTTAATAGGTCTTTTTATAGGTGAAACATTATTGCCAGAAAAGAATTTCAAACTATATAAATGAGAAAAAAACAATGTTTGGCTTTTTTGAAATTAAGGAAAATTTCATAGTGCAAGAGGTATTGGTAATGCAGTCTATAGACATAAAAATTTCTTTCATTTTAATAAATACATGACTATCTCACAGGAGGAATACAATGTTTGAGATACACAGGTAAATAAAGGGTTGCATTTCCAGTCCTCATGGAATTTAGAATCTAGCAGGTAAATAAATGGGAATCACAAACAATTTTTAGCCCGATGAGTTTTTAATAAAGAGAAGACCACAATACTATGGGAATATAGAGCAGCAAAATTTGCCCTTGTCTCCTCGAAAATAAACCATTAAACTGATTCAAAATAATAGACAGTAGCTAGCAAATACTAGAGAATATGCCTTGAAGAAGCAGCAATAGACATAAAAGCTGTGAGAAGAAAGAATGCAGAACATCTTAGCGAAATTGAGACACAACTAGTGTGTTTGGGTCATAGACACCAGTAAGGGCACGTGACTGGAGAAAGAAGTCAGGGTTATATGAAAAGGACCTTTAGTAGATTACTGAATTTCTCTTAAGGGCAATAGTATATTATTCAAAGGGGTTAAGCAAGTGATTTCAGATATTTGTTTTAAAATGTTAGCTAAAGAACGCACAATCTACATGACTCTCCAGAGTAAAACTCTTAGGGATTTTCATACTTTTTTTTCCCTTTTGATGCTCATGACACACCCTCATTCAAAAAAGGTTTGGCATTATTCTTCTATAATTGTACAATGGACATAAGAATAATTGATTTATGATTCGTACTGTCATGCCCTGATTTAGGAATCAGAAATATAAAGCCTTTTTATCACATACATGATTCAACTGGCAAACTTATTTAAATTTATCGCTATTCTTTCATGATTCTTTAAAAAAAAATCCTACAAAATGAGTTCACACTGTAAACTGTTTCCCAAGTATAGCAGGAGATTTCATAGAAATATATTTAAAGAGGATTAGTTAAGTTTTGAAAAACTAGTATGTACCTTTATATAATTACCAAACAGGAGAACAAAATATTATATTATATTATGATAAACCTTTCATTATTATTTTTTGTCATAGTATCAAATGTCTATATATTTGCTTCACATTTAACTATTGACACTGGTAGTTTGAAAGCCTCTTAGTCTTTCTTGCTGTCTAATGGATGCTTGCTTAACGGACCTTGATAATATTGTAGGCTTGAATTTATATAAATCTTACCTCCAGAACACACAATACAATAACTACCTATCCTATACAGATGGTCCAGATATTCTACCTATGTCTTTCTGGTCTCATTCATAGAAGTTATTTCTACTACTAGTACACTCTTCTCATGAGAAAACAAATAAAAAACAAAAACAAAAAAAAAGTCTACTTCCTCTTCACTCTCTTGCTTCTGCTCCATCTCATGAATTCTATTTGCTGGTTCTTTGTTCATGGAAACATTGCTTGGATCCAGAATGTGACTTTGCTTTCTGTGGTGCTGGCTCTTCTGCTAGCTTCTTTCCTTTAATCTTTTTATTAAAAATCATTCTAACATATTTTATTTTCAGCGTATTTTCTAGCAACATTCATCAGAATTAATAAGGAATCTCTGCTTAAAGTTAAGCATTATGGCTATGTAAGTTAAATGAAAGCATATTCAACATGTATAAATATTGGCATACAGCATAGCATCCAAGGACATAGTCTTAAAAGATAATTAAAACACTTAACTTTTATATGTGAGAGCTTGTTTTGAAAATGAAACTCTACACCCATACACAAACATAACATTTAGCAGAAAATTTTCAAGTTTTTTCAAAGGAATGTCACCTACTATGATCACAAAAGTTGGATGTCAGGAGTAATTAATTATCTCATACTTTTAGCCACAATGCTTAGACAGTAGGAATTAAAGTTTTAAATTGGGACATAAATCTGGAATAAAAAGTTAAATTGGCTCTGTGGGATCTTATGTATAACTAAGAATGCTTATATTTTTCACCAAACTATTCTCTTTTAAAGGTTTGCTTTATAGCCAATTAATTTTGCTGTATTGCGAGTCATGTATTTAATAATGAGAAAAAAACATGTTTTCTATATGTTGTTTTAGAAGAGATGGAAAAGCACTTCAGAATTTTGTCAGAAAAAAAGAAATATGTATCAAAGTAATTTTTCACTTTGTTACAAATTTGAGTGTGTCAACATCTACTCTATATATTAAAGTCTATTCGACACATGCATAAATAATGGAATTAATAATATAAAATATAAATGACTGTGCAAGTAAGTTGACAAATTGTTGGAAGTTATTTGCTAGAACATGAAAGTCAAATAATAAAAGTTGGGGAATACCAAAATATCATGTGCTTTTTTATCTGTCTAGGGAGATTGATTACTTAATCCACTTCTTTTTAAAGCTTCATGAGCACTCAAATATATTGTAACTCTTTCTGAATGAAAACATAATATTCATACAATGAGCGTGAGGATTTCATGTTGATCTTCCTATTGTCTTTTAACAACAAAACAACCTTTCAAACATAACAATGTAAAACAAAAATTATTTGAGTATCTAACAGACTTCTCTTGGAGAAAGAAATATACTGAGACCCAATTTGCTGTAGAGAGTGAGATTCGAAAGCATATTTTAGAAGAAGGGAGAGAAATTAAAGAAAACCTTAATTTCCTTAAATAAGAAATGCTGAAGTTCCACCTCTAGAATGGCTATGTGAAGAGCTCCATGAATCTTTTATAAAATTGTTGAAAATTATACAACAACCATCACCTATGTCACTTGAAAAGTCTTAATGGTACATAGAAAATGATGAAGTATTTATTCAAGAAAATCTACTGAAACTAAGAACAGTAAGAGTTTTTTTGCATTTTATCCACAACCCATTCTTACTTCTCTTTCTCACAGACTATCTTGATATAAATTCTACTCAAGGCAATGTAGCCAAGAACACAGAACTTTTACTAGACCCCACTGGGGGGCTATAGCATCTTTCTGGGAGTAATAGTACATCAGAATTTTTCATTTCAACCCCCACCTACTGCCACTACCTGTTCTTGAGATTAAGCTTTTGTGGAATGTGGCCAAGAAGTAGGATGTCACTTCTTCCTACCAGCTCTAATTCATGGAATGAGGACTGTTTGGGTGCAACACACTGAGAACATTGAGCTCTGATTGCCTTCTTTCTGGTTTGTCTGTAAGGCAAAGTTCTCATTCCAGGAGTGGCAAGCTGAGATTACCAATGGCTACTTCTCATCCCAGTGACCCAGTCTCCAGGAAGGGCTGTCACTCCGAGAGGAGAATGCTGCTCTCTTTGCTGCAATCACCAGAGCCAAAGCTCAGAAGCTTTGCCCAAAGGAAGGGGCAGAACATAGAGCAGAGAGTGTAAAGCTTTTCCCAAAAGAAGAGTTTGGGGAAATTCAACCATAAGGGTACTTTGAAAAACAATGAAGTGATGGTAAAAAGCAAATAAGAGAGACTGGCACTTTATTAGAGACATATGCTTTGAAACAAATATCAGCTAGTTTACCAGGAATAACCCAGGAAAAAGACAGCTAAGAAGAGCCCCTCTGGTGTCAGGAAGAAGTTTCAAATGCTGAACAAATGAAAAGACCTGAAATAATAAATAAGACTGTTAATATAACAAAAGCTGTAAATACATAGTACGTTTCTTTTTATCTCTTTTTTTAAGACATAAAATTACGTCAAGTGTGTTAGTCTGTTCATGCTGATACATATATATACCAGAGACTGAGAAATTTTTAAAGAAGAAATTTATTTCTCATAGTTCTGCAGGCTGGAAGTTTAAGATCAATTTGTTGGCAGGTTTGGTGTCTGCTGAGGTGCCTTGAACACTGCATCTTCCAGAGGGGATGAATGCTGTATTTTCATATGGTGGAAAGAATGAAAAGGCAAAGGGTCCTAATTCCCTCCAGCCCTTCTATAACACACTCATACCATCCATGAGGACAGAGCCCTAATAGCCTAATCATACCCTCAAGGTTCCAGCTCTTAATGCTGTCACATTGAAATTAAGTTTCAACATGAATTTTGGAGAGGACAAAACAACAAACCATATCATCAAGTAACATAAACAATAAATTATTGGGTATATAGCAAATATAGATGTAATGTGTACAGCAACAATAGCACAAAAAGGAGAGCCAAAGTACACAAAAGTGAACAAAAGTAAAATTTATATATACATATGGCACTAGAATTGTTATGCATCTACAATTGATTGTGATAAGATGTCTACAGTAAACCCTAAAGTAGCAATTCAGGGAAACATTGAAAAAACATAGATAAAATATTATTAAATTCAATGTTTTATAAAAAATACCTAATTCAAAAGAAAGCAGTAAAGGAGGAATAGAGGAATGGAAAGACATAAGGTATACAGAAAACTGAAGTAAAATGATGGATGTAAATCTAACTGTACTAGTAACTTCATGTGAAAATGAATTTAAATATTCAAATAAAAGATTGTCAGACTGGAGGAAAAACAAATTAAATAAAGAAGATCCATCCACATGTTGTCTGCAGGAGACACACTTTAGATCCAAAGATGAAAATTCATAGAAAAAAAGGATGGAAAAGTTATATGATGCAGGCAGTAACCGCAAGAAAGCTGGAATTGTTATATTAACATCAGAAAAAAATAGACTTTAAAACAAAAGGGGTTACAGAGGTAAAGGGAGATATTTCATAAAAATAAAGGTCCAATATCTCAAAAATAAATAATTATAAGCATATATATGTGTGATGAAAAGCCTTCAAAATCCATTGACGTAGAAACCTCCAAAAATGGAGATTAATTAGACAATTTAACATACTTCTTGCAGCCTTTAATACTCACTTTCAAAAGTGGATAAAATGACTATGCAGAAGATCGATAAAGAAATAGAACACTTGAACAATACTATAAAATAACTAGACTGATTAGATATTTAAAGAACACTGTAACAACAGTAGATTCTCAAGTGCACACACAACATTACCCAGGAATACCATATCCCAGGCCATAAAATAGACCTCAATGAATTTAAACATTGGAATAATACAAAGTATATTTTCAGACATTAATTGAGTAAAATAATAAATCAGCAATAGGAAAATTTGGGAAACTCAGAATTATGTGGAAATTAAACAACATGCTATTAAATAAACAATGGGCCCAAGAAGAAGTAGTAAGATAAATTAGAAAATACTTTAAAAAAGATAAAATACTTTAAGAATGCATAATATCTCTTATGTGATGCAATAAATGTAGTTCTCATACTCAAAAATAACATTCTCTAACCTGCCACCATAAGGCACTGAAAAAAGAGCAGCAAATTAAAACTACAGCAACCACAAGAAAGTATTAGGGATATACAAATTAGTGAAATAGAAAATACAGAAACAATTGAGATCCTCAACAAAGCCAAAAATTGTTTCTTTGAACACATCAGCAGTGGCCACAATTTAGATAGACCGATCAACAAGAAAGAGAAACTATTCAAGTATTAATGAAATTTTTAAAAGGACACTAAACTTAAAGAAATAAAAAATTATTATAAAAGTACCTATGAAAAAATATATCTAAAATTTAGGTATTTTTTAAGAACTGGACAAATTCTAAGAAAGATTCAAATTAGCAAAAATGAGTCAAGGAGAAATATAAAATCTTATCAAGTAAAGAGATTTAGTAATCAAAACTACCACCTCAGGAAACAATGACAACAGCAACAAAATCTTCTAGCCAAGAATGCTTCTACCAAACCTTCAAAGTTGAATTAATACAATTATTTACAAACTCTTGCAAAAAAAAAAAAGAGAATACACTTCCCAGTTTATTCTATGAAGCTAGTATTACCCTAATAACAAAACCAGACAATAGCATCAAAAAAAAAAAGAAAACAAAAACACAGAACAATATCTTTAACAAAAATAGATGGAAAAAATCCTCAGCAAAATGCTAATGATCAAAATCCAGCAAAACATAAAACATATAATATACTATAACCAGGCAGGACTTATCTCAGGAATGCAAGAAAAATGTAAAATAAATGCATCATTACATTACCTAGAGTCAATTATATTGAGTTTCATTTTCCCTATTGATTACCTATTAAGTTGCTTCCAGTTTTACAGTATTTCCTACTGCCATTCCTAGACTCATATCTGGACTGTTTCACAGTATCGACTTTAGAGAACATAGAGGGATAATCTTCGAAATAAAGAAATAATACTGTTCATTGATTTTAAAATCATATATATACACACACAAATAGTCAAAAAGTCATTTTAGCCAAAATGAATTCCATCTCAAAGAAAATAAAATAACGAAATGATACCATCAAAAAGAGATGAGAAAATGGAGGAAATGAATATTGGAAAATAGAGTCACTGACTTAATTGTTGGATTTCTAGTGAAGCAGGTAAACAAATTAAATTCTCTTCTGTAGAGTTATCCTATCTAGGGCCACATGTCTTTAACCTGGCACCAACAAAGTACTAAAACCATATAACAAAGCATTCTTTTATTAATTCCATATTCATCAAATGATTTTCTGGTATACATTTGGGTCCTCATGTAACTTTGTCTATCTAGAAAGAACACTTTTGTTAATTTAAAAGGAATATTTCAGTTCCTACAGCATTTCTTTACATTAACTGGTTTAAGTACCGATCTCCGTTAGTTAATGTTAGTATACCCCTAACGAAAACTGGATTAATAATCAGGTATCTGGGCAGGAAATGCTGTGCCTCAGGGTCTACTAGCAGTGAGTGAGTAAGGAAATGATTCTTTGTGTCTTTCTGTAGTAAGGCATTCATAGCTTGTTTTACAAAGCATAATTATAGCTACCAATATTTTGGAGCCATAGATCATCAGTAAAAGGCTATATTTGTGTGCAGAACGTTTGATATAAAAAGTTAAGACTTCTAATCTTATTTTATTTTGTTATAACTTTTCTAATTATATGCTATTGTATTTTCAGATATGAATACACACAATGAAAACAACTAAAAAGACAAAATTACCATTCACAGTTTGCCTTCTTTCCATCAAAAATTGGTCTCATGTCACATAAATGTAGTTTGTTTTAGAGATGCAGTGTTCCTTTGTATTCATAGCATCATCACTCAAGATGGTAATTATTATGGTGAACATCTGGGTCATTACACTGGCTTATCCTTTTACAGATTGGTATGAAATTGGATCTTATCCTTAAGCTCCAATGTCTCTATGGCCCTGATAATGTTGAAAATGCAGTCCTCACTGTACCTAACCTTAGGAAATGAATAAATGGCTATTTGGAGTCCTGGCTCCCTTTGTGCTTTTATATTCCTGAGGGCATGGCTTTATAATACTTCACAGAATAAGACTAATTGTGAAACATTTGGATGTAAGTTGATTTGGATGTCCTTGATTACACAACATCTGCATGTAAGACAATACATTATTTTCAATTATGATTTTGTCAAGTTCTCAAAATATAGGATTGACTTTTAACTGCAAGTATTTCTGTGTGCTGGCATAATACCATTTGTGCTATTTTCTTATATTTATTCTATGTATTAAAAGAGGATATTAAAAGGATTTTTGTGCTTACTTTAGACAATAATTTATTATGAAAGTTTACTCATAAATATGCTGGACAGTCATTTCATAATAAAGTATGACATTCTTTCCTTTATGTCTCCCCAAGGGTAAAGATCATTCAAGCACAACTATCTCCTGTATCGGTATTTATTCACCTAAATAGACTGTTTTGGTTAAAATTTTAATGAAAAGTCATGCTTATATTACTGTATAATTTTGTATATGCATGAATATTTATCTGTTCAAAGTAGAAATGTAGTTGACATGAAGGGATGTCTGCCTAGTTCACAAAAGTATGACCATGGAAATATCATTTCTATGATACTCCCTCATTAGGGAGCTATTCCTTTGTCACTCCAACCTTGAAACTGTCCCTGTGCAGTACTTTTTGATCCAAGTAATAGACCCATGATCTGAGAATAGTCAAAGTGCATCTCAGATTTTTAAGAGTTGGAGACAGTGAAGGTTTCACTTCTGATGGTATATGTTGTAAGAATGAGTCTGTATCTGTCAGTGCCAAATTAAGTAAGATGGAATAAGAATAAAGCTGATGCTCAGAGAAGGGGGAGTGAGAGTTAGAGGTAGTATTGACTATTGAAAATCCGTCCTGAGGTCAGACCCACAAATGCATTTTGTTATTTTATTTCAATACTGATAAAACCTTTTTATGGTTATAGTTCAAATTAGTTTTTTTCAATTTCAACTGAAATAACAGGTGTAAAAAACCACAAAAGTACCCCATTTCCCCTTGCAAATGTATTGCTCTGAAGCTAGAATGATGTTGAAATACTGGAGGTCAACCTAAAATGATACTATTTTACTGATGCCTTCATTTTTAGTATATTTTCCTTAGATTTTACAAGAGGTAAAAGCATCTACTATAGATGTGTTACCTTTTGAGGTTGCTTGTAGTCTTCATATCTGGTGTGTAGCTGCGACAGTGGAACACGATGGAAAGACTGGAAATGATACAATTCCAAAAAGCTGTTTTTACAGTGTGAAGCCTAGCCTCAGAATAAAATTCCAATACTATCACGCAAAAAATTACTAGGTTTGCACCAAGTATGAATAGGTTGGAAAACTAAAAAGGCCTATGAGGCCCTATAAGAACCACCTTATTAGTGTTTAATAAAGGTAAAGTACGACAGAAATAAAATGCAGGAAATCATTGAAAGTCTGTCTTTCGGGAACAGAGCCTTTCTCCCTAAAGATCCTTTCTCAGTCTCACAGACACATTTTATCTGTATATTATAAACCTTCAAGATTTGAGCTTACTATAATAATTTAAGGGAAGTGCAGAAAAGTCTTTATAGCAGGCTCCCTCATACATTGTTGGTCATATACTTAAGCCAAGTTGTGTAAACCATCAAACTAAACATTCTCAACGATGTAGACCAGTTGGCACTAAACTTAAAGCAATATATTATGAATCACTAACTAGCACATGCCATTTTCATCTTGCTCACGGGTCAGTGTTATGCTTCCAATGCATTTCTAGATATAAATATTAAGCTATTCCAGTCCAACTGTAAGAGAGCCCTCCCTTATGTAGCCATACATTAACATATATGAGAATGTAAGATGTGTTGAAGAAAAAATATCAAAGGATTGAGAAACCTACATAAATTTTAAAAACAATTAAGAGAAGACCAGGCTATATTTAATGTCATCAAAGATAATTCTAGTGCATTTTCATTATTTTTTCACGTGGCTTTTCTTTCTTTTCCCCTTGACTGATTCTCTAACTAGTTTTAATCAATTTTATAGAATAATCTGCGTATAAGGCACACATTTTAGTCCAGTTCAGTTTTACAAATTTATGAAGCTAGTTAACCACCTACACAATCAAATATAGAATATTCCCTTCATCTACACATTTATTGTACGACCTTTACCAATGAATTCCCCACTTCAACCCCAGAAAGGTTTAATGCATTCTGTCTTTATATAATTTCAAATTTTATTTACATGAAAGCATACAATATTTATTATTTAGTATCTGCCTTCTTTCCTCTAGTATATGACAAAAATTCACTTTTTTTTTTTTTGTACAAAGGAATGACAATCCTTCAATTGTAAAAACTAAATATGCCACCCAACTAATCACATGCCTTAGGGTATATTTCTGAAAAATAAGATACATATTTTAAAAGCAACTTTATTAAAACTCAGGGCTATTAAAGTATATATACAAATACAACACTAAAAAATAAAGTTACGTTTCCAGTCCGGGCTCAGTGGCTGATGCCTGTAATCCCAGCACTTTTTGAGGCCGAGGCAGGCGGATCACGAGTTCAGGAGATTGAGACCATCCTGGCTAACACGGTGAAACCCCGTCTCTACTAAAAATACAAAAAATTACCTGGGCTTGGTAGCCTGTGCCTGCAGTCCCAGTTACTCGGGAGGCTGACGCAGGAGAATGGCGTGAACCCGGGATTCGGAGCTTGCAGTGAGCTGAGACCATGCCACTGCATTCCAGCCTGGGCGACAGAGCGAGACTCCGTCTCAAAAAAAAAAAAGCTTCTGCAAAGCAGAGGAAGCAATCAGTAGAATGAAAAAACAGGCCGGGCGCGGTGGCTCACGCCTGTACACCCAGCACTTTGGGAGGCTGAGGCGCGCCGATCATGAGGCCAGGAGATCAAGACCACCCTGGCTAACATGGTGAAACCCCGTCTCTACTAAAAATACAAAAAAAGTGTCCAGGCGTGGTGGCAGGCGCCTGTAGTCCCAGCTACTCGGGAGGCCGAGGCAGGAAAATGGCGTGAACCCGGGAGGCAGAGCTTGCAGTGAGCGGAGATCGTGCCACTGCACACCAACCTGGGTGACAGACCGAGACTCTGTCTAAAAAAAAATAAATTAAATTAAAATTTAATAAAAATGAAACAACCCAGATAATGGAAGCAAGTATTTGCAAACCATGCATCAGGCAAGGGGTTCATACACAAAATATATAAAGAACTCAAACTACTCAAAAGCAAACATACAAATGATCTTATTAAAGAAATATACCCCAAACCTTTGTCCCCCACCATTATTTCCCTACCTTCTTTTCCCGGCGGCCTTTGGCCCCCTCCCTCTCACCACTCTTTTTCTTTCACCATCTGCCCCCAAACTTCTTCATCATTTTTTGCCCACCCTCATTTCACAAAGCTGCCTCTACTCTCCTGCTCAACACCCTTTTCCCCATGCATCTACCCAAACCCTTTCCCCAGTTTCTTCCCACTGTCTTTTCCCCTTATCCCTGGCCAGCCTCTTTTTCCCCATCCCGCTCTCATCCATCTCTTTTGCTCTCTCAACCATCTCTTTTGCTCCTTTATCTAAGCAAAAACATTTTCCCCCGTCTTTTCCCAAAACCTTCTCTCCACTCCTGCTGCTCACTACCCTCTTTCCCCGCTTCATCCAACCAAAAACTGTTTTCTTCATCGTCTTTCTCCCCGTTCCTCCTTGCCATTCTCTTTCCCTTCTCCATCTACCCAAAAACATTTCCCCCGTCTTTTCACAAAGCCTTCTCCCCACGCCTATTCACCTCTCTCTTTCCCCCTCCATCTACACACCAAAACTTTCCCCACCACCTTTTCAAAGTCTCCCCCCTTTACCACTAGTGCTGTTTTTTCCCCTACCCTGCTTGCCACCCTCTTTTTTCCCCTCCATCTACCCCAAACTATTTTTCTGTTGTTTTCCCAACCGCCATCCCTGCTACCTCTCGCCACCCTCTTTCCTCCCTCCATCTATCGAAACACTTTTCACCCACCGTCTTTTCTTTCTTCACTGTCTTTCTTTTCTGCCACTGTCTTTTCACAAAACCTTGTCTTCCTCCTGCTGGCTACCCTCTTTTTCCTTCTCCCACTTGCTACCCTCTTTTGCTCAACCCAAAAACTTTTCTCCCCCACTGCATTTTCTCCACACTGTCTTTTCACAAAACCTTCTCTCCCTACTGCTCCACCCGTTTTCCCCCATCACCTCCCTCTCTTTCCTCCGCCCACTTGCCACCCTCTTTTCCCCCTCCATGTACCCTTAAACTTTTTACCCACCGTCTTTCTGCAAAACCTTCCTTCCCTCCCACTCCCCACCCTGTTATTACACCTCCATCTACGCAAAAACCATTTCCCCACCATCTTTTCACCACCATCTTTTTTCAATTCCTTCTCTGGCTAAGCTATCCTTTTTTCCCTTTGGCCCTAACTACCCTCTTTGCTCCCCTCTATCTATCCCAAAACTGTTTTCCTTCTCCTACCTCTCCAGCCGCGATGCTATCTCTCCGTCACTGCCAACAACTGCAATGAGGCGAGCCGCGCTCCCGCGGCTCCAGCCTCCAGCATATAGCCACCGAATCCTGATTCCTAGTCCTCTACGTTGGGCAATGAGCAACTCGACATGAAGATACAGGAACCTGAAAAAAAGTGATCGCACTTCAGCATCATTTATGTACTGCGGTAGTGCCCATGGAGGTTCCTGGACTGCATGTCTTGATTGGATGAGAAAAAAACCTCCAGGCTTACTCTGATTGGACTTTATGATCATGTTCTGATTGGATGAGAGCAAGTCTTAACACAACCAATCACAGCATGAAAATAAAGTCCAATCAGAGTAGGCCTAGAGGTTTTTTTCTCATCCAATCAAGACATGCAGTCCAGGAACTGCATTTGCATAACCTCATATATAAAGGATGCTGAGGTGGCGTCAGGTCATTTCAGACTCTTCTGTGTCGAGTGGAGGAGCAACTCTGTGCCCAGCTTAGAGGACTGGAAGAGGCCGCAATCTTCCGCCTGCTGGAGGGTGGAGGATGGATGGAGCCTGGAACCTGGGTCACTACCTCGCTGCAGTTGGTGGTGGCGATAGAGCAGTAGGAGAGCATTCGGCAGCAGGAGCTTCTCCTGCTGGGCTGGAGGACTAGAAGGAAGAGGCACTGCCACATGCTGGAGGCTGGAACCTGTGCCACCATGGCTCGCCTCGCTGTGGTTGGTGGTGACATCGGAGACTGCAGCTCAGCCACAGTGGTAGAAATGTGATGGGGTAGGTGAGTTTTTCCGGGCCTGCCCTGTATGCCTCTGGGGGCAAGGGTTGGGTGTCCTATTGGGGTTCACTGCTAGAGGCTACCATGCCTGTGGCAGTGGTCTGGTTGGGGACACTCTCCGGGGTTGCATTGCTGGTGGTGGGGCAGGTTGCCTGGCTATCTGGGGCTATACTGCCTGTGGTGGCAGGGGTGGTGGGGGGAGGCAGATTGTGTACAATAGCTTGTATTGCTGGTGGCTGGGGAAGGATTAGGGGCGCTATTTTCTGCTGCACTGCCCGCAGCAGGGAGTGGGTTGGGTGGAGTTATCCAGGGCTACAATGCTGGCGGGGGGGTGGTTTAGGGGCGTTGTTGGGTGCTACACTGTGACTGGAGGGGTGCACCATTAGGAGCTGAACTGCCTGTGGCTGGGTCAGATTGTGGGCACTATTGGGTGGTATGCTCCCTGAGGTGTGGGGGGAGTGTTTTTGTCAGGGGGTATTGGGGTTACATTGCCTGAAACTGTAGGGTGTGTTGGATGTGTTATCCAGGAGCTACACTGCTAGTGGCAGGGGGCAGATTAGGGGTGCCATGGGGGCTACACTGCCAGTGGCATTGGCGAGCTGGTGAGGTGGCAGCAGCAGTGACAGCAGTGGCTTCCTTCTTCTCGTAGCTTCCAAGTAAGGTATCGTTTTCTTCTTCTCAGACTCCAGACTCTAGAAGGCGATTTTCTTCTGCTCGAGCTGGATTGCATGGTAGGGCCTCCACACCCACTGTGGTTTCCCAGCCTGCCCTCATGCTTTGTGTTGCGAAGATCACGTGGGACTACCGGGCAGGGAGTAGTAGGCACCATGGGGGAAGTGGGAAACAGGGCACTGTTGGTGGAGGTGTCAGGAATGGGAACCAGCCCTTTGGTGGGGAGGGCTGGCTGGGTCTTAGTTTCTCCTACGCAGGCTCCCGGAGGAGGACAGCCTTGGTGGGCCCAGCAATTCCTGGCCAGGTGTACTTGGCCAAGGGCCTGTTTCAGTGAAGGCACTCACTCCCACCCCAGGCCCCAGTTCCTGGCCAGCTTTTGCCAGAAGGAGAGGTTGGACTTTGGAAGGTGGGTGTGAGTGCCTTCAATGAAACTGATCCCTGACACCCAGTCACCAGCCTAACGAGGTGAGGCTCTAATGGTTCCAATCCCTGAGTCCTGTTTTGGGCTTTTCTGGCTTTGCCTGCCCAGCTGCTCCAAGCCACTCTGAAGAAGGAGAAGGAGGAGTCGCCTGTGGTATGGTTGAGCAGATGCCGTGGCTCTGCAGCTTGCCTCATGCAGTTGGTGGTGGAGATGGAGACCATAGCTAGAATGGAGCGGTAGGAGGGCACCCACGGGGGCTTGGTGGTAGGAGCCTGGTAGAGTGGGCTGGTACATTGAGGGTGACTGGTTGTATTGGCATTGGTGCTAGTGGTGGTAGCAGTAGGAAGTCTGGGGGCCGGGAAGGGGGAGTAGGAGCACTGCAGGGCCCATCCCGTTCTGGGGTGGGGAGGAACCTGTGGGTGCTGTAACGAAGGTCTCGGTGGCAGTGGTGGTGGTACACCTAGGGCAAAGAGGAGTCCTCCCCCTTCTCCTGCAATCTCTGGAGTGTGCCCTCCTCCTGCCGGTGCCTGAGCTAGGCATGAGTGGCAGCATTATCTCATTCTTAACAAAATTTAGTGACTATTTGTGTATCCTTTTGCTTGTTTTTTGTTGTGATACTCTTGGAGTTACTCAAATTTTATGAATCGAGGAGGGGATAAAAAGTATTATATGATAGGCCTTCTAATTCCCACACCTGTTCTTTTTCCTTTCTTCCATTGTGTTTTCTTCTCATTTTCTTGTTCCTCTTCATTTTCTTTTGCTACTGCTTCTATTTCATGTTTGTATTCTTGTTTCTCCTCCTGTTTTTGTATTCTTATGCCAAGCAATGGCCTTAACCACCAAAACTGAGTTAAAAATAAAATACTTGTCACTGTTGTGTTTTTTAAATAACTGATCCCTTACTATGTTTTAGAGATGAGGAAAAAAAATGAGTTGTATAATTAGTTACTTGAATAGTTATGCTTTCATAATTGTGTTAACCCATTTATGCCTAGTGTTCCATGCTAAGCATGTGGAAATTACTTATATCCTACTGTTAAATGTCATCGAAAAGGTCTGATTTTTCACTTATGCAAAAATTCAAAAAATTGCAACCTCTGGCATAAATGGACTAATGTGTTGTGTTATTCAAGGAATCAAAAAATGAAGCATCACATAAAATATTGGTAGCAAACAGCCATTTCATCTCTCTCACACTTTTTTCTGGAGCTATGCAAGAGTCACAGGGGTAATAAGTTCTAATTTATGAGATGATTAAGTGAACCATATTCCCTTAATTTTTTTTCTGCCACCATTTTCAAGAGTATTATCATCTGCATGAACAAAGGGTTCATCAACACATCTTTGCAAGAGGAAAAAGAAGAGGGGAGAATCATGTGTATAATGTTGTAAGGCAAACATTCACAACCAAAAACAAGGTTTTATTAACTTTCACCTTTAAGAACCTGCAGTGTTTAGCCCTCTTTGATTCCTAGTATTATTACCTTTGGTATGAACTCTTTTATTAAACTGATCACTCTAGAAGTTTATGCATTTTTTATCATTTTTCAAGCCAACAGAAATGTGTAATGCCTGTAATTCTGACACTTCAGTTATTTTTAAGGCTATGAGCATGTAAGATACTGTTGGTATATGGAAGAATATGTATAAATACCACTAGGTAGCTTATTTTGAAGAGTTAGTATCTAAGTTTTTGTCCAGAGTAGATTGGTTGCAGTTTCTTAGGTGTGTTTCTTAATATGTTGCCTCAAAGTTTTAAAGCATGTAGAAATTTGAATACAGTTTAACTTCATATAGTCCTTTGTTGATAGATTTAATATTTCTAAAAACTAAAGACATCACAGCTCCCTTTAAGATTCAGTAATATTAATAAAATTTTAGAAATATAGGGTTAGAATCCAACAAATTCAGAGGAAAATTGTTAAATTATATAGCTGTAGAGCAAGAATGAAACCCAGGTTCTAAGCTCTAAGGGGGCCATGAGGTACCGTACAAGTACTTCAGTGACTGGGCATAGATTCAGCAAAATTACAGGATGGTTAAGAGAGTGAGCTGTGGAGCCCAACTCTATGTAACATGAATTTTTAAACTGTATGGTGCCTCAGTTTATCCATCTTTACAGTGGGGACTGCAGTAAGTTTTTCTTTTTCTGCTCAGTTGTCTGTCATGTTGCGACTGTTCCCTAGTCTGTCTTGTTGCCACTCAGTGCCCACATGACAAGACCTAAGGTAATTTCTGACAGCCTGGGACTCCTTAAAGAAAAACAGAAGGTGCTACAAAACCCATTTTAGGAGAAACCTCTGTTGTCCTCATGGAACCCCAAGAACTTCAGGCAGACGGGTCTCTCTCAAAATCTAAAGCTCTCCTCTGTTTTGCTTTGTGTTATCTGACCTTTTAGGTTTGGGTGGGCATCAGAAATCAGTCAGGGAGAGAGATCTAAAGAAAGTTGTGGATATGAAGATGTATTTATGGTAAGAAAAGTTGTGAAGGAAAGAAATGTTATATGAGAGGATCTTGTATGGCAAATTTTTGTCCTAAAGTAGAATGACTAATTATGAAAGAGGGAAGTACAGGAAAAGTCAGAAAGTTCATGTCATAGATAGTCTGTGGAAGTTGTGTTAGGGTTCATAAAATGAGAAAGAAAAACTTAACAACTGCTAGATCTTTTCCTGTCTAGAAGTGTTGTGTATATGATGGATATATAAAGGAGCCCTAACTACTTGGCTTAGAAGAAAAGGAAGTCTCTTAAATATTTTGTCAGAAAAATAGAATCTCTAATGCCTTTTATTTAACATGACTTCAGTGATCTTTGGGAAATAAAGACAGTGTTAAAATCATTTTTTAGTAGAGACAGCGTTTCTCCGTATTGGTCAGGCTAATCTCGAACTCCTGTCCTCAGGTGATCCTCCCGCCTTGGCCTCCCAGAGTGCTGGGATTACAAGCATGAGCCACTGCACCTGGCCTACAAATAGGTTAAATTATTTTATAAATTAGCTGTTGTTTGTTTTGCCTACTTTCAGACTTCTGGATTTTTTTTAAGTATGAAGGATTTCAATTGTTATATTAATATAAATGCTTAGATAAATAGCACAAACATGAATTTTTTTTTGACAGAGTCTCACTCTGTTGCCCAGGCTGGAGTGCAGTGGCAGAATCTCAGCTCACTGCAACCTCCACTTCCCAGGTTCAAGCAATTCTCGTGCTCAGCCTCCCAAGTAGCTGGGATTACAGGCATATGCCACCATGCCTGGATAATTTTTGTATTTTTAGAGACGGAGTTTCGTCATGTTGTCCAGGCTGATCTCGAGCTCCTGGCCTCAAGTGATCTGCCCGCCTTGGTCTCCCAAAGTGTTGGGATTACAGGTGTGAGCCATCACACTTGGCCGACTGTATTCTTTATGATTTTTTTTACATCAAAAAGCTCATTTGTAATATTTTCTGTATGTATACATGCTATAAAATTTATTTTGTTTTATTTTAACTTTTTAAAAATAGAGATGGGGTCTGATTGTTTTGCCCAGCCTGGTCTTGAATTCTGGGCTCAAGTAATCCTCCCACCATGACCTCCCAAAGTGCTGGGATTACAGGCATGAGCCACCATGCCCAGCCTGTAAAATTTATTGTAAAGGAAAAGGCATATTTTCATTAAGCTGATAATCTTTACATAAATACTGAAGCATGGCATATTTCTTTATTCTACTTGGGCTATTTTGTGTTGCATTAAGAAGAATTTTTTATTTGTTCTTTCTTCTTACTATGCTTGTTTCTGGAATACTCCTTTCCTCCCTTATCTTCCAAACTCTACTACATCTAAATTTATCCTATTTTTCAAGGGTTTGATCACATATTACGTCATCCAGGAAGTGTCTCTCCTATTCCCTCTTCTCCAAAATGTATATTTTCTTTTTCTGGAAACTCTTGATCCTTTGCCTCTAGACCATAAGCCCTTTGTAGGCATGTCTGTATCTGAGTTTTTAAATTTTTTTTTCCTCTTTTCTCACTCCCAGAATAACACCCTGTGCCAAGGAGTAGTAGATACTTGTTGAATGCATAAAAGAGCTTAGCAGCTAGAGTTAGTGTGGATGCTGTAGAAGATGTCTGATACACATATGGCAGTTTGATGCTGAATAGTTTTTGGAAATTAAAAAACAGGTAGAAATTTCACCAATGTCAGTGACTAACATAGCTGTAATTAGTAAATTATCAAAATGTTTCTTTTTTTTTCTTTTTTACAGAGAGGGTCTCTCTCTGTTGCCCGGGCTGGAGTGTGGCGGTGTGATCATGGTTCAGTGCAGCCTCCGAGTCCTGGGCTCACACGGTCCTCCTGAGTAGCTGGGACTACAGGTGTGTGCCACCACACCTGGTCAATTTCTTTTATTTTGTAGAAACAGAGTCTCATTATGTTACCCAGGCTGACCTCAGATTGCTGGGCTCAAGAGATCCTCCCACCTTGGCCTCCTGAAGTGCTGGGATTATAGGTGCAGGCCACTGAGCCCAGTTAAAAGCATTTCTTTAAAAAAGAAAAAAAAGTTCTGTTTATTGGGATTTGGGGGAGGAAGAGAAAGTAAATATGGGATTGGTTCATCCTAGACAGCACTCATAGTTCTAGATAATATTAGAAAGCAATAATGTTTTAATTTATATATGCAGGGAATTTCGGAGTAATTTCAATCCTAGGAAAAAACTGGGAGTTAGAAATATGGGACGATTGGCCGGCATGGTGGCTCACGCCTGTAATCCCAGCACTTTGGGAGGCCCAGGCAGGCAGATCATGAGGTCAAGAGATCAAGACCATTCTGGTCAACATGGTGAAACCCCGTCTCTACTAAAAATACAAAAAAAAAAAAAAAAAAAAAAAAAAAACTAGCTGTGCATGGTGGCACGTGCCTGTAGTCCCAGCTACTCAGGAGGCTGAGGCAGGAGAATCGCTTAAATCCGGGAGGCAGAGGTTGCAGTGAACCGAGATTGTGCCACTGCACTCCAACCTGGTGACAGAGCGAGACTCCATCTCAAAAAAAAAAAAGAAATATGGAACAGTTGGTTGATTATAATAGAATTTAGGACTCCCTTTGAAAGAATAATATCAACTAGTTTTATATTAAAAAAATTAAATTCTTAAGTAGATTCGTCAGGAGTAAAGGAAAAGTCAAGATTCCCAACTTATTTGGATTTCTTTCCCCCATTACAGTGTACTCGAGGAACAAAATTTGGGCTGTTTGGCTGTCTTTTTTATTTGTTATACATAAATAAACTGATAATCAAAACCAAATATATTGAGGTTACATTTTTCTTTTCTTTCTTTCTTTTTTTTTTTTTTTTTCCTGAGACGGAGTCTCGCTCTCACCCAGGCTGGAGTGCAGTTACATGGTCTTGACTTACTGCAAGCTCCACCTCCCAGGTTCACGCCATTCTCCTGCCTCAGCCTCCAGAGTAGCTGGGACTACAGGTGCCCACCACCATGCCCGACTAATTTTTTCTATTTTTAGTAGAGACAGGGTTTCACCATGTTAGCCAGGATGATCTCGATCTCCTGACCTCGTGATCTGCCTGCCTCGGCCTGCCAAAGTGCTGGGATTACAGGAGTGAGCCACAGCACCTGGCAAAGGTTACATTTTTCTAGCAAAATTTGATTCAGATTTATGATGAGAGTCACCTTTATGCTTATAGATTGCCCCTTTACCCCATACTTGGTTGAACTGACAGACATTCTTCTTGCCATTATCACTGTCATACACTGTTCACATTCAGAGTAATTTGTTTTAGGCAATTCATTTCCCTTGGCAATAACATGGAGATTAATGTAATTTTGAAAATGTTTAAGTAGTCATCATCAGGACTTTGAGTTTCTGTTCAAAGATGTTTAACTTTGCATTACTTTTAATATTTTTAAATTCATTTTTAACTACAATAACTTTTATGTATTTGGAGGTATTTGGAATGAAATCAAAACGTGCTATCTAGGAGTTATAACCTAAAATATGCAGAACATAAATATACCTGATGTAGGAGTATATACATTCTGTTGAGGGGGGAGAAAGAAGTTACTTTATATTCACACAAAATCATTTTAATGCATGAAGGAGGAGGATATGCTATTTTAAAATTTGATCTTTCACTAATTGTAAGTAATACATTATTTTTTATATATACTGAAATTCCTGGATGTAATCTACTGAGTTTGCTGCATATTCTTCCAGTTTTTTTTTCTGTGTTTGTATAATTTTCTAAATTATGGGATCATAATATACTATTCTTTTATATACTACTGTTGCAAGTTTGTCTATTTATTTCAGAGTTACCTCTATCAATCATTAACAGCAACTTAAATACCCCATTTCTAGTACATGAAAATACCATAATTTGCCAGTCACGATGACTCACACCTGTTGTCCCAGTACTTTGGGAGGCCGAGCTGGCTGGATCACCGGAGGTCAGGAGTTCAAGACCAGCCTGGCCAACATGGTGAAACCCCATCTCTACTAAAAATACAAAAAATAGCCAGGCATGGTGGCATGTGCCTGTAATCCCAGCTACTTGGGAGGCTGAGGCAGGAGAATCACTTGAAACTGGGAGGTGGAGGTTGCAGTGAGCCATGCCACTGGACTCCAGCCTGGGCGACAGAGTGAGACTCTGTTTCAAACAAACAAAAAAAGAAAATACCATAATTTGCTTAATCAACTTATGGTCACTGGATTTTTTTGTTGTTGCCAGAAAAAGAAAGCTGTAAACAATTGTGTGTGTGTATGACTATTTATGCACATGTACATATGTATATGTATTTTGTGTACTTTATACAAACAGCTTTGTAGGATAGATTCCTAGAAGTGGAGTTGCTGAAATCAAAAGATGTGAATAATGTAGATATGGATAGATATTTATACATTTTCCTTCCAAAAGGTTGTTGTACCAATTTGTAAAGCTACCAATAGTATTCACATATGCCCCATACCCTGGCTAATACTAGATATTACAGTTTAAAACATTTTGACAATTTAGGAACTGAAAAAATGTGATGGCCTTTTGTCAATCACTATTGAGGCTGAACATTTTTTAATATGGAGAAAGTTGTATTTCTTTCTTTTTTTTTTTTTTTTTTTTTTTTTTTTTGAGATGGAGTGTTGCTCTTGTTGCCTGGGCTCCCAAAGTGCTGGGATTACAGACCTGAGTCACCGCACCTGGCCTTTTTTTTTTTTTCTTAGACAGAGACTTGCTCTTGTTGCCCAGGCTGGAGTGCAGTGGCACGATCTCGGCTCACTGCAACCTCTGCCTCCCATGTTCAAGCAATTCTCCTGCCTCAGCCTCCCAAGTAGCTGGGATTACAGGCATCTGCCACCACGCCCAGCTAATTTATGTATTTAGTAGAGATGGGATTTCACCATGTTAGTCAGGCTGGTCTTGTACTCCTGACCTCAGGTGATCCACCCACCTCAGCCTCCCGAAGTGCTGGGATTACAGGGTGCGTCACTGCGCCTGGCCATATGTCTTTTATAAATTGCCTACTTTTGTTCTTTGTTTATTTTCTGTTGGGGTTACTGGTTTTTCACAGGTTAAAAGTTCTCTACATATTCACTTTTTTAATTCTTTCTTTTTCTTTTCTTTTTTTTTCTTTCTTTTTTTTTTTTTTTCTGAGACAGAGTTTTGCTCTTGTTGCCCAGGCTGGAGTGCAATGGTGTGATTTCATCTCACCTCAACCTCTGCCTCCTGGGTTCAAGTGATTCTCCTGCCTCAGCCTCCTGAGTAGCTGGGATTACAGGCCTGCGCCACCATGCTCGGCTAATTTTGTATTTTTACTAGACATGGGGTTTCTCCATGTTGGTCAGGCTGGTCTGAAACTCCTGACTTCAGGTGATCCGCCCACCTGGGCCTCCCAAAGTGTTGGGATTACAGGTGTGAGCCAATGCGTCTGGCCTTATTCACTTTTTTCGTACGTGTGCACATATCCCCCTAGCTATTCTTTTGTAATGTTATGCAGTCAGATAAATCCAAACCCAGCACTGTGCTGCTGTGGGACCTTGGGCACATTATTTAACCTCTGTACACCTTAATTTCCTTATTTGTACAATGGAGATAATGTAAATAGCATTAGGCATAATGGCTGGCACAAAGTAAGTAAATAATAAATGTTAGTTGTGACTGTTATTAATTTATTTATGTGACTTTTGTGTTTTGTGCTCTACTTAAGACTTTCCTTGCTCCAAAATGTAAAATATTCACCTAGCTACTAAACTAGAAAAACAAAGTGAGGAACATTATATGCCTCTATGTGTCTTTGCTTTAAAGATGAAAAACAATGTATACATTTTTGCTTGTATATCACAGGATATATGATATTTGGAAACATTGGTTGTCATAGTAGGAAGAATGAGTGAGAGGAAGACTTTTTAACTGCATGTGTTTTTGTATTTTTAAAACAAAGAAGTCCCCAGATTGTATTTAATACTTCAATGGTTTCTTTATTTTCCTTTTCCTTCTCTTTTTAAAACTTCTAATTCTTTGATCCGTCTGGAATTTATTTCTGGTATAAGAAGTGAGACATATTTTGGGGGATAAAATTGTGTGTGAATTCTACCCCATCTAGCTAGTTGTGTCAGCACCATTTAGTGAATAATCTGTTTTTTGCCCCCTATTAGAATTGCAGCTTTTGTCATTTACTAAATGTGTTTGGGACTATTTCTGATTGGTCTTGTTATTTTGGTCTCTTGTGTATTACCATACACTTTAAATTACTATCATTTTATAATTTTAATACAGATGGGGTTAATTACCTGTTCATTTCTCTTTTTTTTTCAGACTTTGACAATTCTGGTCTATGTGTTCTTCTAGATGAACTTTAGAATCATTCTGTGACATTCAAAAAGAAATCATAGAGATTTTTATTGAATACTGAATATTGATTGGGAATACTGAAATTGGAGGTGAAGTTTGGGGAAATTGACATCTTTATGTACTTTCTGTCCTGTGTTCTAACAGATTTTTATGTGTCTCAGTAGATTTTCAAACTTTGCTTCAAATAAGTCCTGTACAAATAAGTCTTGTATATTTCTTGTTTATTTATTTTAAAAAACATCAGACCCATGAATGGGAGTTTGTTTATTTTATCCAACAAATATTATAGAGAATCAAACAGGTAGTTTTTATTCTAGTGAGAGAAGACAGAATATACTCAATAAAATAAAGTACGTAATCCATTTCAAATTATGATAAACCTATAAATGAACCAAAAGGGTGATGCGATTGAGAGTAACTAGTGGGAGCTTACCTTATATGTAGGGTGGTTGGAAAGACTCTTCTGAGATGACATTTGAACTGAGACCTTAAGTTTGAGGAGGAGCTAGCCACCTGAATGAGCCAGGAACAGCGTTCCTGGAAGAGAGTAAAGAAGGACAAAGGCCCAGCTAGGAAGGACCTGGCAGAGAAGGGCTCCTGAAGAAACTGAAAGGAAACTCATGTTGCTGGGGCCTAATGAGCAATCTGGAAAGTAAGCAGGCCAAATCTAGTAGGGCCTTGGGTCATCGTAAGTAGTTTAGATATGCAGTGCGTAGGAAATCCTTGGGGAATCTGAAGCAGAAGAGTGGCGTGTTCTGATTTAAGGTTTAAAAAGAACACTTGGCTTTTTGAGTTGAGAAAGTATTGAAGTGGGAAGCCCAGTTAGGAGTTTTTGCAGCAAGAGGTAAGGATGGTGGTAGTTAGATGGAGAGGCCAGGGAAGCTTCAGAGTCTGTGTGTGTGTGAGTGTGCGTATGTGAGTGCGTGTGTGTAAGGAACAGCTAAACAACTTGCTGTTGGAGTGGGTGCTACTGAGAGCTAAGTACTGCTAGCTGCTGCAGAGGCCGTGTAGAGCAGAACAGAGCTGATCTTTGCCTTCACAGGTGTTTGACAGTTCTGTTCGTTTCTGAGGTGTGTACCAAAATAAAGTAGGCTAAGAGCATTTGACTTTAAGATTTGTGGAGCTCGGGGGTGTTGAGGGGGATGCAGCAAAAAACAGAGTCTGTTAATAACCCTTGTTTTATATTGCTTAATAACCTGTAGTCTCTGTTAGTGGGTCAAAGGAGAGGCAGCAGCAGATGATCTTTAAGGTATCTGTCTTTGAGTTAGAAAAACATAGCTTGAGGAAGTTATGTAGCTTCCCTACAGACTTACAGCTAATAGTAGAACCAGACTTTTAGGTGAGCTCATGCACACATCAAGTCTTAGCACACTGCCTAGTATATGTCTAGAGCTCAATAAATGGTAACTTTTAGTAATACCCACTTAGATATTGTTATATCTATTAATTCAGGCCAAATATCTACATTAAAATTTTTCTTATCTCAATTTCTTTGTTCTTTTGTGTTAATCAGGGAGGGAATTGGCATGTAGTCATCCATTTTGTTTGTGAAATATATTTGTTCTTTTTTTGTTTGTTTATTTTGAGATGAAATCTTGCTCTGTCATCCAGCCTGTAGAGCAGGGGTGTGATTTCGGCTCACTGCAACCTCTGCCTCCCGGGTTCAAGTGATTCTCATGCCTCAGCTTCCTGAGTAGCTGGGATTACAGGTGTGCACCACCACACCAGGCTAATTTTTTGTATTTTTTTTTTTTTGAGATGGAGTCTCACCCTGTCGCCCAGGCTGGAGTGCAGTGGTGCAATCTCTGCTCACTGCAACCTCTGCCTCCTGGGTACAAGCGAATCTCCTGCCCCAGCCTCCCAAGTAGCTGGGATTACAGGTGCACGCCACTACATACACCTGGTTAATTTTCATGTTTTTAGTAGTGATGGGGTTTCACATGTTGGTCAGGCTGGTCTTGAACTCTTGACCTTGTGATCCTCCAGCCTCAGCCTCCCAAAGTGCTGGGATGACAGATGTGAGCCACCATGTCCAGCCATATTTTTGTATTTTTAGTAGAGATTTCTTTCAATATCATACTTTATTAGAGGTAGGATAGGTTAACTAAAAAGCTTTTTCCTTAGCTTCCATTTGTTTCTCTGTCTTTAAGTAAGATGTCATGATGTCAAAAGAGGCTGCAAATAAAATACCTTGTCAGTGGCATTCCCCCAGGTTAGATCTTAACCAAAAGGCTGAGAAGCAGTAGCTTTTTTCCCCCCAAAGGGAAGAATGCTTAGGTTATTTTACAGGAGAAAATCCATTCCAGTATAGCACCACTCTGGTCTTGTACAAATTACATAATTCACTTAGATAATTTCTAGTCTTTCCTCTCCTGGATGGTGGACTCTGTAATAAGTTTAGGAGGTCGGCTTTCTTTAAATTATCCCCAGGTTGGAGGATTTTAGGTGTCGGGATGCCCAGGGTGGTTGTCCTTCTTAGCCTTGTCTTACCTAACATACTTTTAGAATTGGTCTAGAGCTGGACAGCTTTGTGGGAACTGGAGTGACCTAATTTGCTTCAGTTTAATAACTAATATTTTAGCATTTAAGTGTCATAGAGGCATTGCCCTATCCCATACTTTTGTATCAGGAGGTTTCATTATTTTATCAGTTAAAAATTGCATATTTTGTAGGATCCTTTTTCTGCTTTGGTGAAATGTAGGCTTCACCTCTATTGTGATGCTTGGTGGATTCATTCTTGCTCATCTGAAGTGACATCTGCGGTCCTGCCACTGTGAAGTATATTTTTAGCTTTTTTTTTTTTTTTTTTTGAGATGGAGTCTTGCTCTGTTGTCAAGCTGGAGTGCAGTGGCACGGTGCCAGCTCACTACAACCTCCACTTCCCAGATTCAAGTGAGTCCCCTGCCTCAGCCTCCCGAGTATCTGCGACTACAGGTGTGTGCCACCATGTCTGGCTAAATTTTTTTTGTATTTTAGTAGAGATGGAGTTTCACCATGTTGGCCAGGATGGTCTTGATTTCCTGACCTTGTGATCCATCAGCCTTGGCCTCCCAAAGTGCTGGGATAACAGGCATGAGCCACTGTGCCCGGCCATTTTTAGCTTTTTTTCCAATGTAGCTTAGGCCACCTTGAACACCTTTGCATAACACATTTTGGTTATGCAAAGGTTGTGGGCCAAAAGCCAGAAGTTCCTGCTGAGAGGAAAAATTACTTGTTTTTTGGCAGGTTAGTATTTGAAATTTTGTTGCAAGATTTTCCTGTTGAGTAAATATGTGTGTGTTTATTTAATATGAGAAGATTTAAAAAGGAACTTAAATAGATCAATTTCATTTTGCAATATTTTATTACCTGTTTGCAATATGTAAGAGGCTAGTTCTGGGTTTATCTGTATAATTCAGTTAGAAGTGCTATTGTCTTTTATGACAGTGATGTATAATTATTACTATATTATTCTCATCCTAAAACATTATATGTTGATATGTAAGAGATGAGGAAGTTGCTCATAAAATCTTGATCGGATTTCTTAAACTATTCATAGAATTGTTTTAGTTCATGAGTCAACCATGTAACTACCCTGAGTTAATGAGTTTTGGTGCTAAGAACTGAAATTATAATTTGATACTGCCACTTAAGGTGCTCCCTTCCCCTTCAGTCTGAACTTTAGATTCTTTCATTTCAGTGGGTTTCAAATGTAAAGTATTCTGCCGAGGTATCTTAGTGAACCAGGACTGGAGTGAAAGGTGGAGGGAGGGATGGGGAAAGGCAGGGGGAGCCTGAAAAAATGAATCCTAGGTCTCCCATTCTCACTAGATCAGAATGTTTCTCCATTGTACCTTTTGTACATTTAGCTTTCATTTAAGACTTCTGAGGAAAACATTCTGGTTAAAAAACAAGATCTGAGCACTGTTGCTGTGTATCTCGTGGATAAGTTTTGAGGAAGGAGGTTGTGGTGGTCTCCAGGCTGCAGTTCATGTGAGGACAGGAAGGGCTTGCTTTGACCTGTAAATTTGTATGCCGATAGGGGCTAATTTCCTGACTTTGCTAGTTTTTTTTTTTTTTTCCTTCTGTATTGGGCGAATAGTACTTTTAAATAAAACTAATTTTTTTTGTTTTTTTTGAGATAATAAAGTTGAACTTCATTAAAGTCATACCACAAAACTAGGACAACAGGAAGGATTACTGAAATGAGGGAAAAAATGGAGAAGTCACTTAACTTGTGACTTTGAGTGACATTGTTTGTAATTGTTGAACTCAGGACTCACCATAGCTGAAAGTTAAAAAATGTGCATTAAAAAATTGTACCTCATGGGTTTCTAATCATTTAGGCCACTGTTAGAAAAAAATGGGATGACCCTGGGTTAAAATCTTTTTTTTTTTTGCCTCTGCATTCCACTTATAGCTTTATTTATTTGGGATGTCTGAGTTGGGAGGAGAGCACAGAGATAGATCACTTAAAGCATGTTTTAGGGCAGCAGATCAGAATTAGTTGGAAAACTTTTACAAAATGCATGAACGTTCATATAGTGAAATACTCTGTTTTTGGACAGAGTTTCATTCTTGTTGCCCAGGCTGGAGTGCAATGGCACGACCTCAGCTCACCGCAACCTCTGCCCCTGGTTTCAAGCGATTCTCCTTCCTCAGCCTCTCGAGTAGCTGGGATTACAGGCATGTGCCACCATGCCTGGCTAATTTTTGTATTTTCAGTAGAGACGGGGTTTCAGCATGTTGGTGAGGCTGGTCTCGAACTCTTGACCTCAGATGATCCACCCGCCTCAGCCTCCCAAAATGCTGGGATTACAGGCGTGAGCCACCACATCTGGCCCATGTAGTGAAATTCTCTTTAGCAATAGAAAGAACCATAGATGCATGAGAATAATTGCCAAGATGTATTTTTTTTTGGGGGGGGGCGGAGTCTCGCTCTGTCACCCAGGCTGGAGGTTGGTGATGTGATCTTGGCTCACTGAAAGCTCTGCCAGCTGGGTTCATGCCTTTCTCCCCACCTCAGCGTCTTGAGTAGCTGGGACTACAGGCGCCCACCACCATGCCTGGCTAACTTTTTTGTATTTTTAATAGAGACGGTGTTTCACTGTGTTAGCCAGGATGATCTTGATCTCCTGACCTCATGATCCACCCTCCTCAGCCTCCCAAAGTGCTGGGATTACAGGCATGAGCCACTGCACCAGGCCAACCGAGATGTATTAAGTAATAAAAGCAAGATACAGAACAGTGTGTTTCTAGTATGCCACCATTTACATAGGGGAAAAAGTGTGATTGTATGTATGTGTGGGATATTTCTAAAGGACACTCTAGAAACTAGTAACTTTGGTTGCCTTCTGGGAGGGTAACTGGGTAGCAGCTGGAGGAGAAGGGCAAGGAGATTTTTCACTTTGTATTCTGTGGTACTTTTAAAAACTCTTAAGTCCTGCATATAATGTTTATTTCTAAAAAGATCAACCCTCCCCACAGTGCCACATGTTGGCTTTTCCCCTTCCACCTGGAGCAGTTGCAGATGTATAGATGAGGAGAAAGCTCCTCAGGTGGTTTTAATGTGTGGTCTCACGGAACATCTCACCTTCTCCTAGTTCACTACCTGCTGAGAAAGCCGCAAAGCATTGCAGAAAACATTAGTTTTTCCCATTTTGCCACAGACAATTTTGTGATATTGGAGGAATTATTGACTTTCTCTGATCTTCACATTTCTCACCTGTCAAATCAGTGTTAGTTGGGTAATCTCAACCTTCCAATCCTTAAGATTTGCTGACCTCCATGCCTCGGGCCTTGGAAGGGAACAGGGAGAAAACAGACTGAGGGACAGCTGGTCAGTCTTCTGACTCTTCTCCTGGTCAACTTTCACAACAGCAGGAAATGTGACATCAGGAGAAAGGATGATATATTTATTTAAAATATTTATATATTACATGGTACCACATGCAGTTTTTAAAGTTCTTTTTTTTTTTTTTTTTTTTTGAGATGGAGTCTGGGCCCCTCACCCAGGCTGGAGTGCAGTGATGCCATCTCACCTCACTGCAACCTCCGCCTCCCAGCTTCAAGTGATTCTCCTGCCTCAGCCTCCCAAGTAGCTGGGTTTACAGGTGTGTGCCACCATGCCCGGCTAATTTTTTGTATCTTTAGTAGAGACTGGGTTTCACCATGTTGACCAGGCTGGCCTTGAACTCTGACCTCGTGATCTGCCCACGTTGGCCTCCTAAAGTGCGTGAGCCACCACGCCTGGCCTTAAAGTTCTTTCTATACATTTTTTCTTTTATTTTTTGGGTCAGAGTTTCATTGTATCACTCAGGCTGGAGTGCAGTGGCACAATCATGGCTCACTGCAGTCTTGACCTCCTGGGCTCAAGTGATCCTCCTGCCTCAGCCTCCCAGGTAGCTGGGACCATGGGTGTGTACTGTATGCCTGACTAATTATTTTTTCTTTTTCTTTTTTTTTTTTTTTGAGACAGAGTCTCGCTCTGTCACCCAGGCTGGAGTGCAGTGGTCCGATCTCGGCTCACTGCAAGCTCCACCTCCTGGGTTCATGCCATTCTCCTGCCTCAGTCTCCCGAGTAGCTGGGACTACAGGTGCCCACCACCACGCCCGGCTACTTTTTCGTATTTTTAATAGAGACAGGGTTTCACCGTGTTAGCCAGGATGGTCTCGATCTCGTGACCTCACGATCCGCCCGCCTCGGCCTCCAAAAGTGCTGGGATTACAGGTGTGAGCCACCGCACCTGGCCGCCTAACTAATTATTATTATTATTTTAATTTTCTTGTAGAGATAGTTCTGGCTTCATTGCCCATTCTGGTCCTGAATACCTGGCCTTAGGAGATCCTCCTATCTTGACTTCCCAAAATGCTGGGATTACAGGTGTGAGCCACTGTGGCCAGCCTATAAGTTTTGTTTTAAAGTTAGATTGAATGACAATTCCCTAGAAAATTTTATTTTCTAAACCTAACTGGATAAAGAATATATTGATAAAAACTGGGAAATTGATCAATTTGTCATACTGAATTATTTTTTGAATTTGCCCTCTTCCCAAATACCTTGAAATGATGGAAACAAAATTAAAACTTTACTAATAAAGTATTAAATGGGTGAAGATTTTATATATATAAAATTATATCTGTTATATTTTTATGTATGCAATTATATAGTTTTCATCTTATATTTAAATTCTATTTTTTTAAAACCACCCAATTAGGTAATAATAGAACTCCGGTCTTAAAGTAAGAGTGTATGTACACACATGCACATGTGTATATGTGTATATAAAATTTTTGTCTTGGGAGTTTTATATATAATTAAGATAGAAATTATATATTATTGCACACATTTTTACACATATGTAATATTCTCTACCATATGTATGTAAAATACACCCATATGAATTATGTATAACATAAATATTTGTGTTATCCTGAAACATAAACGTAGATAATCATGTTTTAGAATGGGAATACTCAGGAGTATAGGGGTACCTGTTCTCCCATTAGTCAGTCTGTGAATTCAATATTTATGTTTTCTCATCCAGAATTTCTCTGGGACCTGACAAGCTGACTCTCATGCTTGTGTGTAAGAGGAAATGTTCTAGAATAGCTGGGAAGGTGGTGAAAGTAGCAGCAACAACGAAGCACAGTGAGGTGAAACTTGCCCTGCTGGATATGAAACCTCGTAATACTAGAGTAATTTGAAAAGTGTGGCATTGGCACAGGAAAAGACAGACAAATCAAATTAGTCTAGAATTGTGGACAAGTAGGAATAGAGTTTATAATGAGGATGGCTTTCTTTTTCTTTCTTTCTTTTTTTTTTTTTTTTGAGATGAAGTCTCACTCTGTTTCCCCAGCTGGTGTGCAATGGTGTGATCTCGGCTCACTGCAACCTCCGCCTCCCAGGCTCAAGCAATTCTCCTGCCTCAGCCTCCCAAGTAGCTGGGATTACTGGCGCATGTCACCATGCCCCGTTAATTTTTGTATTTTTAGTAGAAAAGAAGTTTCACCATGTTGGCCAGGCTGGCCTCGAACTCCCGACCTCAAGTGATCTTCCCGCCTCAGCATCCCAGAGTGCTGGGATTACAGGAGGAGCCACCGCTCCTGGCCTTTTTTTTCTTTATTTGCTATTTCAGTTCCATAGAAGCAAGCAAAGAGTAAGATAACAAATATCCATCTACCTACCATCTGTGATTACAAAACTTAGTATTTTATCATCCTTGCTTCACAATTATTTAATAAAGACAATACTTCCTCTGCACAAATGCTTACCTTAAAACTACTCTTGAATTCTTTTCACAATTGACTTATCAACTCCCAAATTTAAAACCATGTATTTTTGTCTTTATATGCCTTAGACATTTATAGAAAGGTATTTACTGAGCAGTTACTATGTGCCAGATATTATGCTGTTTTTATATACTGTTTTTACTTTATATAGCTAATTATATTATTTGTCACATATTAACCTATTTTAAATATAAAAAGAAATGATGCATTAATGTTTTCAAACCTTGGTAACTTTTATTAAGTAAATACCTGAGAGGAAGCTTTTCCTGGTAATTGTGGTTTTATTTATGTATCTATAGTTATAATTTATTAGAAGTACACTTGGTGTTTTAGTTCTTATTAATTCTATTTTTTTCCCATCCTGTTTAGATGGTTTCCTAGAAACATGATTGTTTATTGGCGTTGATCTCACAGTCTGGTGAGAACTTCTTTACTGATAATGTCAAGTTCAGTTTATCCTCCCAACCAAGGAGCATTCAGCACAGAACAAAGTCGTTCTCCTCCTCACTCTGTAAAGTATACGTTTCCCAGCACCCACCACCAGCAGGTAAGGAACAAATACTATGCAAATTGCACGTTTTTTTGTTTTTCTTTACTTTTCCTATTTAATACACATGTTGGTAGAAACCACCAAATTTGCCTTTTTTTTTAAGTGGCAAGAGCTATTTACAAAGACAAGGAACCAAAGGTTGGGAATTAATTATTTCTGTCTTCTTACTGTGGCTTTATGCCGATTTCAGGAGTTGAACTTGTCTTTGTTTTGATGACAGGAGTTGATGATAAATAGAAAACTTATCAATTCTCTAGAATTTCTAGGGTAAGACCTATATTTATACTCCCAAGTTGTGGTTGAGTTTTAAGCTGGCTAGATAACTTGGCATGTCTTGAGTGATGGCCAGGATAAAGACCTCTGTCTTCTTGAGAGATTGATGGTAGGAAGATTTGCATAGTAGGTAGGAAGGAAGGAAGGGATGGTAGATAGGAAGGAAGACTTTATTATAGGAAGAGTTTGTAAGAGATTGATTTACCTTGTGAAAAATAAAGTATGAGGTGAAATAATCATCTCAGAGTAGACCAAAGATATGGATGTAAGAGGTTTAAAGAAAAATAGGAAAGGATGGGATAAAACGGTCATCTCAGAGACTAAGAAAGCAGATTTGTCATCAAAATGTACTACGGGGTCCTACTGAGGACTCCTTTGAAGTGTAGTCATGATTACAGAGTTAGAATGGACATTCCTACGATGTTCCTGTGTAGGGAGGCATTTAGTCTTTTACCATTACGTGTAACGTTAGTTGCACATTTTTGTTGATGCCTTTTTTGGTTGAAGAGGTTGCTTTCTGTTCCTAGTTTGAGAATTTCTGTCATGATTGGTGTTGAATTTTGCTTGTGTTGTCCCCCTACCCCAGTGTTATTCATCTGATTACCAATTTTCCGGATTATTGTTGCTGCTGGTTTTTTCATAAAATCAGGCCGGGCGCAGTGGTTCACGCCTGTAATCCCAGCACTTTGGGAGGCTGAGGCAGGTGGATCACTTGAGGTCAGGAGTTTGAGACCAGCCTGGCCAACATTGTGAAACCCCGTCTCTACTAAAAATACGAAAAAATTAGCCAGGCATCGTGGCAGGCACCTGTAATCCCAGCTACTTGGGATGCTGAGGCTGGAGAATCGCTTGAACCCGGGAGGCAGAGGTTGCAGTGAGCCAAAATCGTGCCGGTGCACTCCAGCCTGGGCAACAAGAGTGAAACCCCATCTTAAAAGAAACAAAATTAACTTTGCAGTTTAGTTTATATATATATATACACATATATCTATATTAGAATGCACTCATTATATGTGTACATTGTAACAAATTTTGACAAATTCATAAACTCATAGAACCATCACCAAAATGAAGATGAACAACATTTCTAACACTCCAGCACGTTCCTTGGCACCCCATCCTCCTTGGCACCCACCCGTGTCAGTCCTCCTCCCCCAATTCCTACTAACCTCAGCTCCTAGGAAACCACTGATCTGCTTTCTATCATAAAACATTGTATACATTCTGAGCTTCATGGGAACTCTTTTGTCTATGACCTCTTTTGCTTCCCATAATACTTCTGTGATCTATCCATGTCTGGCATGTCTCAGTTCATTCCTTTTTATTGTTGAGTATGGGTATACCACAATTTGTTTATCCAGTCACCTATTCCAGTTTTTGATTATTATAGATAAAATTACTTAGAAAACATATATCTATATATTGTATCTAGATTATTAAAAGAAGTTTTGCCTCATTTTCTTAACAGTATCCTTTGGAGAGCATACATTTTTTATTTTTATCAAGTCCGATGTAGTTTATTTTTTGAGACAGAGTCTTGCTCTGTCGCCTAGTCTGGAGTGCTATGGTGCCATCTCAGCTCACTGCAACCTCTGCATCCCAGGTTCAAGCAATTCTCCTACCTCAGCCTCCTGAGTAGCTGGAATTACAGGCATGTGCCACCACACCCAGGTAATTTTTGTATTTTTAGTAGAGATGGAGTTTCACCATGTTGGCCAGGCTGGTCTCGAACTCCTGACCTCAGGTGATCCGCTCTCCTCAGCCTTCCAAAGTGCTGGGATTACAGGTGTGAGCCACTACACCCAGCCCCGATGTACTATTTTTATTGTTCATTTTTTGTGCTTTTTGTGTCAAACCTAAGACGTTTTTGCCAAATTCAAGGTCACTAAGATTTTCACTTACGTTTTCTTTTTTTCTATTTTTGTTTTGTTTTGTTTTTGTTTTTGTTTTTGTTTTTTTGAGACAAAATCTTACTCTGTTGCCCAGGCTGGAGTGTAGTGGGGCAATCTCGGCTCACTGCAAGCTCTGCCTCCTGGGTTCACACCATTCTCCTGCCTCAGCCTCCCGAGTAGCTGGGACTACAGGCGCCCACCACCACGCCCAGCTAATTTTTTTTGTATCTTTAGTAGAGATGAGCTTTCACTGTGTTAGCCAGGATGGTCTCAATCTCCTGACCTTGTGATCCACCTGCCTCGGCCTCCCAAAGTGCTGGGATTACAGGTGTGAGCCATCGCGCCCGACCAATTTTCACTTATGTTTTCTTCTCTAAGTTTTATAATTATAGGTGTTTCATTTAGGTAAATTACCTATTTTGAATTAAAATTTTATATGTGGTGTGGTAAGCGTTGAGTTTCAGTCTTTCTGCATTAAGAATGATGTTAGCTTGGAGAGTGCTCTTTACTCCTGTGTTTTCTTTTCTTAAGGGGTTTGTGTAGGATTGGTACTTTTCTTTGAAATGGAGTCTTGCTCTGTCATCCAGGCTGGAGTGCAGTGGTACAATCTCAGCTCACTGCAACCTCCATCTCCCGGGTTCAAGTGATTCTACTGCCTCAGCCTCCTGAGTAGTTGGGATTACAGGTGCGTGCCACCACACCTGGCTAATTTTTGTATTTTCAGTAGAGATGGGGTTTCACCATGTTGGCTAGGCTGGTCTCGAACTTCTGAACTCAAGAGATCTGCCCGACTCAGCCTCCCAAAATATTGGGATTATAAGCATGAGCCACTGCGCCTGGCCTTTTCTCTTTCTTTCTTTCTTTCTTTCTTTCTTTCTTTCTTTCTTTCTTTCTTTATTTCTTTCTCTTTCTTTCTTGGCTTTCTTTCTTTTTTTTCTTTTTCTTTCTTCCTTTCTTTCTCTCTCTCTCCTCTTTCTCCTCTTTCTTTCTTTGAGTCTCACTCTGTCACCCAGGTTAGAGTGGGCAATTGCGTGATCTCGGCTCACTGCAACCTCTTCTTCGTGGTTCAAGCAATTCTCCTGCTTCAACCTCCCAAGTAGCTGAGATTACAAGCGCCCACCACCATGCTTGACAAATTTTTTGTACTTTTAGTACGGTTTTGCCATGTTGGCCAGGCTGGTCTCGAACTCCTGACCTTAGGTGATCTACCCGCCTCAGCCTCCCAAAGTGCTGGGATTTCAGGTGTCAGCCCACCACGTGGTGGTTGGGATTGATACTTTTTCAACCTTAGATATTTGATAGAATTTATCAATGAAACTTGGTCCCAGATTTTTTTTTCTGGGAAGAATTTAAATATGAATTAAATTTCTTTAATAGTTATAATTCAGATAATTTTTTCTTGAGTCAGTTTGGGTATATTTTGTTGTTTAAGGTATCAGATTTATTGACATAATTTGTCTCAATATTTCCTCATCATTTCAGTGCCTTTGAGATATGTTGCTATGTTGTTAATCATGTTGATAATGTTTGTTTTTATTATTTTTTAATCAGTCTGCCTAGAGGTTTATCAGTTTAAAAGATTTTTGAAGAACTAGCTTTGGTTTCAATCATTTTCACTATTTTTCTATTTCACTGATTTCTACTCTTTATTTTTTTTTCCTTCTCTAATTGCCTGTGTATATATCATCACTTCATTCTTTTTGTGTATTCAAGTTTTCTTCTGATATTATTGTGTTTTTGCCTGAAGCACTTCATTTCTCTCAGTTTAGGTCTTTTGGCAATTAATTCTCTCAGCTTTTATTTGCCTGAAAATGTTTTTATTTCTGAAGACTATTTTCACTAGATAGAGAATTCTAAGTTGACAGTTTCAGTATTTTAAGAGATGTCATATCATTGTATTCTGGTTTGTATGGTTTCTGACTAGAAGCCTGAGGTCATTCTTAATTTTTGCTCATTAATATATAAAACACATTTTCCCCCCTGTGGCTACTTGTTTTTTTTTTTTTTTTTTTTTTGAGGCATTCTTGCTCTGTCATTCAGGCTGGAGAGCAGTGGTACGATCTCAGCCCACAGCAACCTCCACCTCCCAGGTTCAAGCAATTCTCATGCCTCAGCCCCCTGAGTAGCTGGGGCTGCAGGCATGCACTACCATGCCCAGCTACTTTTTTTGTTTTTTTGTTTTGAGACAGAGTTTCACTCTTGTTGCCCAGGCTGGAGTGCAATGATGCGATCTTGGCTCACCACAACCTCCGCCTCCTGGGTTCAAGTGATTCTCCTGCCTCAGCCTCCCAAGTAGCTGGGATTACAGGCATGCACCACTATGCCCGGCTAATTTTGTATTTTTAGTAGAGATGGGATTTCACCATGTTGGTCAGGCTGGTCTCGAACTCCTGACCTCAGGTGATCCATCCACCTCAGCTTCCCAAAGTGCTGAGATTACAGGCATGAGCCACTGTGCCCGGCCCCAGCTAATTTTTTGTATTTTTAGTAGGGACAAGTTTCCACTATGTTGGCCAGGCTGGTCTCGAACTCCTGGCCTCAAGTGATCTGCCTGCCTAACATATTCTAATACTTTTCCCAGAGTCTTTTTGTTTCAATTTTTCTTTTTTTTAAGCATACTGAAATTTAAAATGTTTTTACTGCCATCAAATATTTTTTCTATGTTTGTTAACCTTTATGCCTGATTGCCCTTTCTTCCCTGATATCAGATAAATAAGTACCCACACATTTTCTTTGAGTTTTCATGCAATGAAGAGTAATTTAAAAGATAATAAATGTATCTACAATTTATTTTCAAATAGTTCAGCCAAAATGAAGTTTTATAAACATACACAGACACACACAGAAAGTAAATATGTTAAAATGTTAACTACTGGTGAATCTAGATGAAGGATAAATGAGTGTCCATTATACTGTTCCTTCAACTTTTAAGTGAATTTGAAATTTTTCAAAATAGTAAGTTGGATGGGGAAATATTCTTTGCCATAAGCTAGAAATTAGCTAAGCTTCTAGGTGTCTTGTGACCCACCTTATCATTTGAAATATCCTTATCCTACAGTAGTCTGTGGGGTTTATAAGAAGTGTTCTGCTGCATTAAAAAAAAGAAATTTAAAAATATAGTGAATAAAGGTCATCTTCCATGGCTGAATACATTACCAAAAATGTAATTTATAGAATTTCGTTTTTTAGCAGACAAGTGTCTTAAAAACTCATTCATTAAAATGAGATGTGTTGTGTGGTAGTGTGACCCATTTCCATGTTATAGTTGAGAAACTGGGTGTTCAGAAAAATTAAGTGACCTAGGTAGTACCTCCTGAGCTGGAATTAACCCAGGACCCCTGACTCTAGTCCTGCTTTTTTTCCTCTAAAGTGTAAACCATGACTACTACTACTAACTAATACTTCTCTTTCCATCTCCCTCTCCCCATTCTCTCCCAACTGCCCACCTCCAGAAGTAAGTATTTAAAAAGAACTAACATTTGTTAGATTTTTTTTAAATGTTAAGCCTAGGTATATCATTTATAGAAGAATTAAATAAGCTTGAAAGAAAAAATTACCTGCAGTTTTACCAGTTAAAAGTTATTAACATTTTCATGTTGATTCTTCCCTATTTGTGTGTGTATTATTTTAATTTTAGTTTAATTTAATTTTATGGGTTTTTTTTTTGTTTTTTGTTTTTTTTTGCTGCTGCTCCTTGTGTAACAGGGCTAACCCATAGGCAGTGTGTCCAGAGTCGGCCCGTATGAATGTTTTAATGTGCTCACTTTGTACATTCTGTTTAACTTTACTTTTGCTTAAATACGTGCTTAACTTCTTTTTGTGTCAATAAGTTTACAACTGTATTGTTAGTGGCTACTTAGTATTCCACATATGAATAAATAAAGTTATTTATTTAATCAATTTTCATACATTTAGGTTGCCTGTTTGTTCAGAAGTACGGTGTTGTGACATGCATTTTTTTTTTTTTTTTGAGATGGAGTCTCACTTTGTTGCCCAGGCTGGAGTGCAGTGGCATGATCTTGGCTCACTGCAACCTATACCTCCCAGCGATTCTCCTGCCTCAGGCTCCCAAATAGCTGGGACTACAGGTGCATGCCACCAAGTTCAGCTAATTTTTGTATTTTTAGTGGAGACGAGGTTTCACCATGTTAGCCAGGCTGGTCTCGAACTCCTGACCTCAGGTGATCTGCACACCTTGGCCTCCCAAAGTGCTGGGATTACAGGCATGAGCCACTGCAGCTGGCCCGTACATTATTTAGCTTGTTTTTTCTGTATGCATTCTTACTTGTTTCCTTAAGGTAGATTTCTTTTAGTATAATTAATTACAGACCAGGTTGATTTTTAAGGTTCAGTGGGTATTTCCAGATTGTCCTGCAAAAGAGTAGGGCCAGTTCTTAACTCCTGACAACAGTGTATAAAGGTACCCACTTCTTGGCCGGGCATGGTGGCTCACGCCTGTAATCCCAGCACTTTGGGAGGTTGAGGCAGGCAGATCACCAGAGGTCAGGAGTTCGAGACCAGCCTGGCCAACATAGTGAAACCCCGTCTCTACTAAAAATACAAAAATTAGCCAGGTGTGGTGGCCGGTGCCTGTAATCCCAGCTACTCAGGAGGCTGAGGCAAGAGAATCGCTTGAACCTGGGAGGCAGAGGTTGCAGTGAGCTGAGATTGTGCCACTGCACTCCAGCCTGGGGGACAAGAGTGAGATGTCGTCTCAAAAAAATAAAAATAAAAAAAAATAAAGGTACCCACTTCTTCTGTATCCTTGCTGACACCACATGTTTATCGTTTAACAAAAAGATTGTTAATTTGATGAATGATTGTTTTTAAATTAAACGTATTATTTGTTAGTAAAATTTAACATTTTTTTATTTGTTTATTGGTTATTTTTCCTGTTTTGTAAATTGATTTTTCATATATGTTGCCCATTTTTCTGTTGGTTTATTTTATATTGAGTTGTTAGAGTGCATGTTTGGCAAATGGTTTTCCTATTTAATCATTTGCCTTTTTAATTTGTTGTTACTGTTTTGATAAGCAGAAGATTGTGTTTTTGCATGTGTGGTTTTTGTTGTTGTTGTTGTTGTTGTTGTTTTTGAGATGGAGTCTTCCTCTGTCACCCAGGTTGGAGTGCAGTGGTGCCATCTCTGCTCACCACAACCTCCGCTTCCCGGGTTCAAGCCATTCTCCTGCCTCAGCCTCCCAAGTAGCTGGGATTACAGGCTTGCACCAGCACACCTGGCTGATTTTTGTACTTTTAGTAGAGATGGGGTTTTACCATATTGCCCAGGCTGGTCTCGAACTCCTCACCTCAAGTGATCTGCCTGCCTCGGCCTCCCAAACTGCTGGGATTACAGGTGTGAGCCATCATGCCCAGCAGAAGACTGTTTTTTATTTTATCCATCAATTTTTCTTTTTTAAAAACTAATGTATTTTTTATCTTTTGCTTTTGGCTTTCCTGAACCCACGATAATGTGAATCTTTTTTTTTTTTAATTTGAGGCTTTTTGTGATTTGCTAATAAGCCTCTTATAAATGTTTGCTATTACTTGGCTTTTTTAATGTAAGATATGAGGTAAGAATCTAACTCTTTTTTCTTCAGGATTGGTATCTTGCTGTTTCAACCCAAGATTGTAAACTTCATGAAGGGAGATATCTTGTCTGTTTTGATCCACCACCCTATTCCTGTTATATAAGTAGGCACTTGAGGATTTGGTTTCTTATTAAATATTTAATATTTAGAAAGGAAGTCAGTGGAAAATATTCATTTGTAATATTAATTCTTTGCATCAGAATATTAATCTTTGCATCTGATGCATCAGATGCATCAGAATCACCTGAGGAGCACTTTTGAAGTCTGCTGATTCAAAATGTAATCTCTTTTTCTGTTATATATGTTTCTGTAACACAAATTTGCTCATATGCATATAGTGGGAGAATGACATTAATGTATCATGAAAGTCCTGGTAGTTCACCAAAGATCTTTCTTTATGCATTAACATTTCTAAGTTCTCAGGAGTATGCTGTCTCATAATGAAAGAAAAAGGCTTCACAACACATGAAGACTTAAGAATATTTGAACATTCTGCATTTAGTTTTCATTTAGTGCAAATAGTAGCTGGTTTAGTGAATTTAAGAACTGTCGTGCTTTTCACAGTGTTAGTGAAGATTCAAGCATTGAAAAGACAATGTGAAGACAAATTTTCTTGTATTTTTTTTAGCGTTGATAAAGGAGGGAGGGGGAGAAAAAGAGGTTGATAAACATGGTTATATGCCAAATCTGATTTTTTTTCTTTTTTTTGAGATGGAGTCTCCCTCTGTCACCCATGCTGGAGTGCAGTAGTGCAATCTCAGCTCACTGCAACGTTTCCCTCCTGGGTTCAAGCCATTCTCCTGCCTCAGCCTCCCGAGTAGCTGGGACTACAAGTGCCCGCTACCACACCCAGCTAATTTTTGTATTTTTTAGTAGAGACGGGGTTTAACCATGTTGGTGAGGCTGGTCTCGAACTCCTGACCTTGTGATCTACCTGCCTTGGCATCCCAAAGTGCTGGGATTACAAGCATGAGCCACCATGCCCGGCCACTGATATTTTATTTAGATGAAACATACTGGTTTATTTTGGAAGCCAATGACCTCACGGATTTACATCTTAAGAGAGGAATCATAAACTCTAGGGCTTAAAGCTGCCAAAGATTGATTGTATGCCAGATGCAAAGGATACTGGAGCTTTAACTCTATTAAGTCTATTAGAATTGTTATTGCTTTTATTGGTGCTTTCCTTACAGAACTGTACAGGTTTTAGGGTATAGCCATAATCTTATTTTCCCAGAAGGCCTCTCAGATTCAGTGCATACTATTACAGAATATGAGGCTTTTCATCAGTGTATATTAGCTGAAATATCTGTACTACGGTGTTTTGAAGCAACTGTCCAGTTATCTCCTGTAGGCATTCTTGGCTCAGAACTATTGACTTTTCACAGTTCCTTAATCATTATTTAATACATTTTAGGGTTCTGTAATCCTGTGAACTACCCTCATTGTAGGTTTCTGATAGTCTAAGTAAAATTAGTGCTCTAAACTTTATGTTTTATAATATTGCTTATATCTTTACAGCAGACTGGAAATTAATAGGGTGTGTGTGGATGTGTGTTGGAGTGGATTTTGGGTGAAGGGGCTTTCATTCTGCTACAGCTCTGCTGATTTGGAGGTGCAGTGGGATGTTTTTGGCTAAGGAAATGTTACGTATGCTGTAGTGTGGGCTTTATGGAAGTAGGCCCAGAGATAGTAGCAGCTGAAGTTCCTAGGTCACTTCTCTGACTCGTGTACCTCAGTTTTGGTTTGGAAAGCCTGAAAACTTCTGATAGGAACACTTGGCCATGTTATAGTTGTTAAGTTGGGTGGACACACAGGTTTTACCTGGAATAATACTATTTCCCAGCCAGTGGTTCAGACCATTTGAAGAGCCATTGCAAGGAAATGGCTGAGAAGTTGGTATCTTCGTCATGATTGCATTATTTACCTATAAATTCTCTATAATTTCAGTATTGTTACACTAGAGGCTGATCAGCACTAACTCACCTGACTTTGTATAGCTTTTAGGCTCTTCAAAATAGTACATGGTATATCTAAACTATAAAAGTGAGGTGAGAATTTGCATATATGTAAATATGAAAGTTACTGCTAAAGGTTTCATTAGACACATATTACACATGGCTCTGCTGTGGTTTAAAACTGACTGTTTCATTTAAGGCAATCTGGACTCTATTAGTGAGAAATGAATTGTTTTTCTTGGTTTTATTCTCTAAAGGATCCAGCATTCGGAGGCAAACATGAAGCTCCATCCTCTCCAATTTCGGGGCAACCATGTGGAGATGATCAAAATGCTTTACCTTCAAAACTTTCAAACGAAGAGTTAATACAAAGTATGGATCGTGTAGATTGAAAAATTGCAAAAGTAGAACAGCAGATCCTTAAACTGAAAAAGAAACAAGTAAAAGTCTTTGCCTAATATATTCTAAGAATGTATGTTTTTCTCCCTACAGAAGATAATTTTGAGTTTTCCATATTTTGAAACTTTACATAAAAGGAATCATGCCTTACGTATTCTGACTTGCTGTTTTTTGCTACTATTGTGGTTTTCTTACATTCATTCATTTTCCTTGCTGCACTGTCTGATTATATGATTGCAGAGAGTGAAATTTGTTTTTCCATTCTATTTTTGATTTTTTTTTGATAATCCATACAATGGTGCTGGTTTTTGGTTCACATGTAGAGATTTTCCAGGGCATGTGCCCAGGATTGGCAGTGCTTGGCCCAAGATTATGCACAGTGAACTATTTAATAGATGATACCAAATTTGCTAAGAAGTAACACCATTTTATATTCCCACTGGCAGCTTATGTGGGTACTTATTTGTGCACATTCTTGCCTTTACTTGATATCATTTTTTCAGTTGGATATGAAATAGTCTTGTGTGGTTTGGAAGGAGGCTGAGCTTATTTTCATTTGTTTATGAGTTATTTGGGTTCCTTATGTGCATTGTTCAAGTCTTTTGTCTATAGTCTCCTATTTCATCATTGAAACTTTTAGGATTTCCTGAAGTCCCTTGTCAGATATGTGTATAGAAGATTTGCCTAGTTTGAGGCCTGTCACTTCACTTTTAGCCCAGTATCCACTCTAAGTGTACACTAAGTGCCTTTTTTTTTCCAGATTTGGAGTCTCACTCTGTCACCCAGGCTGGAGTGCAGTGGTGTGATGTTGGCTCACTGCAACCTCTGCCTCCCAGGTTCAAGCGATTCTCCTGCAACAGCTTCCCGAGCAGCTGGGACTGTAGGCGCTTTAAGTGCTTTTAATGTATTCATAAAGTTGTACAGCTATCACAACTCTCTAATTCTAGAACATGTTTATCATTTCAAAAAGAAACTCCATACCTACTAGCAGTTACTCCCCATTTCCCCCTTTTCCCAGCCCCTGGCAACCACTAGTCTATTCTCTGTCTCTATGGACTAGCATATGCCAAATACCAGAAAAAACAGAATCATATGTGACCTTTTGTGTTTGGCTTCATTTATTTACCATGTTGTCCTGATTCATCCATGTTGTATCTTGTCTCAGCACTTCATTGCTTTATATGCCTGAATCCCATTGCATGAGTATACTGTTTTGTTTATCCATTTATTAGTTGATGGATATTTGAGTTGTGTTCATTTTTTGACTATCATTAATAATGTACTGTGATGAGATTCATGTACTCGTTTTTGTGTGGACGTATTTTTACAATTTTCTTTATGTATCTAGGAGTGGGCGTATGGTAAATCTATGTTTAAATTTTTGAAAAACTTCAAAACTGTGTTCCAAAGTCTCTGTACCATTTTATATTATTACCAGCAGCGTACGGAGGTTCCATTATTTCCTACCTCCTTGCCAACATCTGTTATTTTCCTTTTTTAAAAAAATATAGCCATACTTGTAGATGTGAAGTGGTATCTAGTTGTAGTTTTCATTTGCATATCCTTAATGACTAATGATGTTGAGCATCTTTTCATGTGCTGATTGGTGATTTGTATATCTTTTTAGAGAAATGTTCATTTAGATTGTTTGCTCATTTAATTGTGTTGTCTTTTTGTTATTCTAAGAATTCTTTATATATTCTGGACATTAGTTCCTCATCAGATGTATGACTTAATAGATATTTTCTCTCATTCTGTGAGTTCTTTTCACTTTCCTGATGGTATCCTTTGATGTACAAAAGTTTTGAATTTTGTTAAAGTCCAGTTTGTTTTTCCTTTTGTCACTCTTGCATTTGGTGTTGTATCTAAGACCCATTGCCTAATTCACGGTCACAGATTTATACCTATGTTTTCTTCTACAAATTTTATAGTTTTACCCCTTATAGTTGGGTCTTTGATCCTGATAGTGTTTTTTTGGTGAACAGAATTTGTTTAGGTTTTACATGAAAACCCACTGGGGCTATTAAGGTAGTTTTACTATATTATCTTTAGAAGTTTTATGATTTTCCTTTTCATCTTATTGCTAATCCACTGGAAACTACATGTTGTATAGTCAGTGTTCATTTATATTTACTCACATATTTGTCTTCTTACGTACTCACTATCTATTCTCGCAACTCAAGTCTTCCATCTAGGGGAACACCCTTCTACTGAAGAACGTCTCTTAGAATTTCCTTTAGTGAAGGTCTCTTAGTTAGCAAATTCAGTATTTGTTTGGTTTTTATGACTTAAATATTGTCTTATATTTGGCCTGTTTATTAAAAGATATACTAATTTCGTATGTGATTATTTTTTCTTAGTACATTGTCTTCCTGCTTCCATTTTTAAGACATTAGCTCTTGGTCTAAATCCATATTCTTTCATGGATAATGTGAATTTTCTCTCGGTTGTTTTCAATATATTCTTTTCTTCAGGGTTCTGTTATTTTTATGATGATATATTTAGGTGTTTTTTTTTTCCTTTTAAATCTGTCCAACTTGAGCTTCATGAATATGAAGGGTGGAGTTTTTCATCATTTTGAGAAAATTCCAAGCCATTATCTTTTTTACAAAACCTTTCTAACAGTTTATTATTTTACTTATGAAATCCTGTTAGTTGTAATATCTTGTCACTCTTGTCTTCCATGTCTCTTGTTTTTTTCTTATTTTTTTACTTCTTTGGGCTTCATTCTGAGCAATTTCTTCAGCCTGTCTTCCAGTTTACATTTTCCTTTTCAATTATATGTAATCTGCTGTCGAATCTGTCTTCAATTTCAACAATTATGTTTTTATTTCTGGAATTTCTATTTGGCTCCTTCTCAAATCTGCCTGGTCATTTTTTAAAATGTTTTTTGCTTTCATTGAGTTGTATTAAATTTTTGTTATATGCCCAACAATTCTAATTAAGTCTTTATTGGTTTGGATTTGCTGAGTCTCTTTTCTTTTTTCTTTTGTCTTTATTTTCTTTACTTGTACAATGGTAATCTAGTAATAACACCAACTAAATCACATGATTGTTTTATGAATTGAGATAATGAATATATTGCATAATATGTGGTACATAGTAAATGTATATGCAATCCATTATAATAATTAGAAATAATGAAATATAATGTATGATTATTATGAAATATACCAGAGCCACAAATTTTATTGAGCGATACAAAGGACAACTAGAGAAAACAAAGAAATATGCCATAGCTGGATGGAAAGAGTAATAATAATGTTGTGTGTTCATCTTGGACTAAATCATGTCTCATATAATTTCAATAAAATTCCAATTAAATTCATTTTTAGAACATGGCAAATATATTGTAAAGTTAATGTAAAAGAACAAACAGGGCCAGGCTCAGTGGCTCAACCTGTAATCCCAGCACTTTAGGAGGCTGAGGCGGGCATATCACGAGTTCAGGAGATCGAGACCATCCTGGCTAACACGGTGAAACCCCATCTCTACTATAATACAAAAAATTAGCCAGGCGTTGTTGCAGGCGCCTGTAGTCCCCGCTACTCAGGAGTCTGAGGCAGGAGAATGGCGTGAACCCAGGAGGAGGAGCTTGTGGTGAGTGGAGATCACGCCACTGCACTCAAGCTTGGGCGACAGGGCGAGATTCCATCTCAAAAATAAAATAAAATAAAAAAAGAAAAAGAATTTGTGTCTTGTTTCCTCATTAATGTTGGTTGAAAGCATGTTGACACTTGTCTTTGACTTGTGTTTTATTAACATCGATTGGTATATTAAAAGTTCCTCTGAGCTTACCTTCTCTAAAAAAATATAAGAAAAAGGGCCTGTGGGAAGGACTATGAGGCAGAGGGGCTGGTGTGAGCACATGCTGGGCAGGAGGAAAGAGGTAATGACCAGGACCAGGGAAAACCCCAAACCCAGCAAGTCAGGGAGCCAAATGAAAGCCTTTCATCCTGTATCGGCCACCTAACCCCATCGACACTCCAAGTGAACATTCTCTTTTAGAGATACTCATTGTCCTGTTTCTTCTGTAATCTTGTAAAGGAATCTGATTTCTCCCATTAGCCTTTCACAGGACTAAAATTTCACATTAGAATGCTATTGTTTAGAAGGCATCTTCTTAGATTAGGCTGCAAGGAGATTGAGGAAGTTACTGTCAGTCACTTATACCCCACAGGGACATTAATTCACCAGAGCTTTGGTGGGGGAGTAGAGGACCTCATTACAAGCAGGTCTGGATGCTGCACAGAGTGTAAAGGGGGCAGAAGGATCCAGGACACCTAGGCCTGGAGATAGCGCCAATGCTGGGAGGTACTGTTATTATCCCCATTTTACATAGGAGGAAACAGACACAGGCAGGTAATGTTATCAAGACCACGCTGCCCCACAGTACAGGAGCCAGGATCTAAGCACAGGCAGCCTGCCTTGCCATCAGAGCTCTCACCCATAACCCTGTGCTGCAGTTAAGCAGCATTGCCCTGTGGCCAGGGGGCACAGCTTCTGGGTTCACGTTCCAGCTTCTCTACCATTTCCAGCTGTGTGATCTTGGGGAAGTTACTTGTCTGTGCTCAGTGTCCTCTGCATAGTGGGTGTAGCAATACGTGCCTCATGGAGTCCCTTAAGTGAGTTAATAGCTGTAACATGCTTAGAATGGTGCCATGCGCATCATCACCATCCACTGTATATGGGCCATCATGCCTGAATTCCAGATGGACACATATCCTTGAAGGGTCTAAAATCTAGGATCCTGAAATGTCTGGCAGTGGGATCCTGAAATCCTCTGGCAGCATTTTAACATATTTTGGCTGCAGAATTGTACCCTGCTTCCTGGGGCTAGAAGGTGTGGGATCAGCTGCTTACTCAGTTCAACCCCAAAGTAGGCAAAGAAGGTTTTGTCACAGGCTTCCCTGGGGCCAGCCCTTGTAACCTCCCCTTGTCCCTCCCTTGCATGCTTCCTCACCCATATTCACACATGAACTCCAGGCCTTCTGGGCCCCAAGGGAAGGAGAGAAGGTGGGGAGTGGGTTCACTGGTCCACCGAAGCATGCTGCCTCCAGCCCTGCTGCACTGGTGGGTCCAGGGAATGGGCCTGGAGCTGAAGGGCTCTTGCCCTCCCTTTAACTTTAAACCTTGATTTGCAGTGATCCAAGAGCTTCATCTCTTCCTGTGAGCCTGTCTGGATGTTTATGCTGGATGGCTTGGGCCCCTTCTTTCAGGGGTGCACAGGCAAGGGCCTGACCGGCAGCCATGGCAGATGAGGAGACTTTGGCAGATGAGAAGACCTTCTACTTCAGCTTCAATGTATGGGTCTTCTCCTGGCTCTCAGTACATTCCTCCTGAGTCATGATGGGCTCCAGTTCAGTGAAACTCTGTGGCAGCATCATGGTGTCCAGGGGTTTAATCTGGGGCATGTGCCAGTGCTACCCCAAGGTATGTGGTTGTGGGTGTGAGTGGAGCCAGAAGGGCTGGATCTTGTTCCTCTCTTCCATGTATCAGCCCCATCCTTCAATCATCTTGTTATTTTCATTTTGACTCCCTGTTTTATTCGGTATTCTCTTCTGAGCACCCGTCCATTCATTTATCCATTCATCCATCTATTCATCCATCCATTCATCCCAGCATCAATCTATCAATCCATGCATCCATCCATTTATTTGTCCAACCACCCATCCATCTATCTGTCCATCATTTAGCATAAGGATTGATCAGAAGCCTCCTGGTTCTGGAGCCATAGACTAGACACCATGGGGAGACATGATGAAAAATAACATATGATTTGTGTGCTTGAAACAAAAGCTAATGAGTGCTTACCACCTGCCTGGCAGTCCTGCATTCAGGGTGCAGTTCTCCCCTCATCCTGAGCTTTTCGGTACCTTCTATAGTTTCACTTTGTAGTAGAGAATGCTGAGCCTCATAAAGTGGGGACACACAGCTGCGTAGAGTTTGGATTGGAGCTCAGATGTGTGTGACTTAGGCATCACCCTCTGCCTTGAGTCCTCCACTCCAGGGTCTCAGAGCTGCTGAGCATTCTGGGGTTGGTCAGCTCTAACCTTGGTGGCATGCATTGAGCAACTCTCCATATTTTGGAGTCTTAATGTATTCCTAGCCTTAGTGATGGCAAGGACTCTGCTTTGGGAGACCTGGGTGCTAGTTCCAGCCCTGTCCCAAACTTTCTGTGTGATCTTTGTCTTTCTGAGTCCAGTATTTTCATCTGCATAATAGGACACAAGCACCAATTTTCACAGCCTCCTAGGGGTATTACAGAGTTCAGACAACAGAAGAGATATATGAATATTTGCAGACCGTAGAGTGTTTTATTTAGATGATGTGCTTTCAGGTCCTGACAACCCTCTGGAATGAACATGTCAGAAGTTGTAAACCTTCAATGCCCAGAGAGGTGGAGTGACTCTTCCAAGGTCACATAGCTAGTCAGAGACAGACCTAGGGGGAAGAAATGAGACAAACATGGATTCTAACTTGGGCTCTGTCTCTAACTGCCTGGGATACTGCTCAAGCCCCTTCCCTCTCTAGGCCTCAGTTTCCTTGTTTTTACAATATGTGACACAGGATGAGGGGATGGATGGGGAGGATATCTGGGGGCCCTGCTAGAACTCACCTCTAGGGCCCAGGCTTGGGAATCCCCAGAACCCCCATATTGTCCTTTACACCTGGGTGGCTGTGCTCAAGGACTCAGGGAGGGGGAACTCCTGCGGCCCTAGTCTTCCTAGCCCTTCCCCTTCTGTGGGCCCACCCTGGGCTGTCAGTGTGTTAGGTGCTGGAATGGTCTCACCTGGTTTGTAGTCATTTCCAAGGCAGTTTATGGTAACCTCACCTCTGTCCGTACCATGTCCTGAGCAGAGGTCCCGGGGAGAAGTCCTGGGGGCCAGAGCCACCCATGTCACCACTAGCCATGGTAGTCCTCTTCTCTGTGAGGAGGCTGCACCCTGGAAGATGGCATCGGGTGGAACGGAGCATCTGTCCTGACCTCTCCGTTAAGCAGAGGTGGCTCTGGGACTGTGGGCAGAGATACTGGAGTGGCAGTGGGAAGCGAAGTGGGGGAGGAAATATTGCTGGGTACTAATGAGTCAGAGTTGATAGACTCATGTCTTCATGTGCTGTGGAGGAGGCAGTCTGGTGGGGTGCAGATGGCATATGTTTTGGTGACCTACAGGCTTACTTTCAAATAGCTGTTACCTCATGTTCCCCGTCTGTGACCTTGGCAAGTAGAGCTCCTCAACCCCGAACCTTGCACTGCTGAGTGGGAGAAACCAGAAGGGTCTTGTGTTGTCAGGGACCTGGTATCATGCCTGGCACAGAGCACTTGCGAAATCTTCATTCTCAAGATTGGCATTTGTGGCTCTGGGGGATACACAGGGAGGTCTGTGCATGTATGGGCAGGTACATGTGGATAGGTGCGGGTCTGTTTGTGTGTGTGGGAGTGCATGTTTCAGGGACACAGGCTATCAAAACCAGCACAAGGTGACTCCAATAAGGGAAGGGAGGAAAGCGCATGGTAAACCACGAAGACACTCTAGACATGAGGCTTCCTGCATCCTACATGGCCTCTTGGTGCCTGTGCCATTGTAGCCTTCAGTGCTCACGCTTGTCCTACCCTCAGGGTCCTGCCCTGGATCTCAGTGCCTGGCTTGTGGAAAGCGTCAGTAAATGGGGAAACATAAACATAAGGGAATATAACTAGCTAATTAGGGTAATTCAGTGAGGAGTAGCCATTTCCAACATGAATTAAACTGTCCCTGATTATTAGGGGCTGGAGGTCTAGTGAGAGAGACAATTTGTGGCATGATGGGGAGGAAGTAGGATTCACAGAGAAGGTGAGCTTGGCTTTGTAGGTTAAGTAGAAATTCACCAGGCAGAGAAGATGTGGGAAGACGCTCCAGGCAGAAGAGCAACAGGATCGAAGCCATGTGGTGAAAGGACAAGGCAAGTCTGTCAGCAATGCTACTAGAGGGGGAGGGGAAAAGTCAGGGTGGAAATGGACGGGCCTCAGCTCCTCAGTGCCTGGGATGTTATGCTAAGGGATTTGGATCTTACCCTTTAGTCAAAGGGACAAGGGAGGGACATGACCAGGTTTGCAGTTTGAGAAAATTATCAGGCTGATATCTGGAAAGAGGATGGTCTGGGGCAGCGAGACCAGTGGGAGGCTTCTCTGCTCAGATGAGAGATGGTGGTCATCTGGATTAGGCAGAATTTGAACCCAAGGCTGTAGGAACTGAGAAGACGGTTCCAGTTTACCATATGAGGAATACCTGCTGTGGCTGGCAGGGCACCAGCACTTCTACCCAGATTATCTCACTAAAATTCTAAAGTAGACCTGGTCAGCTCTGGAAGCCACCTGGGCCTCAGGCATGAGAGAGGAGGAGGAATTGGGGCAAACCTAGTGGGTGGGTGCAGTTGGAGATGCTGAGCCTATTAGCAAAGACGGGACAGGAAAGTGGGGAGCAGGGAAAGGAGTGGCAGGGAGAGTGAGGCCTTTCCCTGCCTGGCTTCAGCCTTTACCCATGAGCCTCCCGTTCCTCATTTCTGCTGGACCCAGGACCAGGACCCTGGCTGGTGTTGAAGGTTCTGTCTCCTCTGTGGGCTTCCCTCCCTCTGCTTCTTCCTTCTGAGGATTGCTCAATGTTCTGCCTAAACACAAATCTGACTGCATACTCTCCTGCTGATAAACCTTCAAGGATGCCTCTGATTCTGGGCAAAGCCTGAGCTTCTTAGTTTTATGTTCTGGGGGTCTCCATTGTTTGATATCCCCTCCCCAGCTTCAACTCTGCCTGTTCTTCCTCATCAAAGTACCTGTATTTTAATATGCTACCTCCTTCCTTTTCCTCCAAGATTTTCATAATTGTGGTTGTGATGATGATGATGATGACGGTGATGGTGAAGGTGGTGATAATGATAGTGATAGTTATGCTGAGGATGATGATGATGATGGTGAGAATGGTGAAGGTGAGCATGGTGATGGTGATGGTAAAGATGGTGGTGATGAGGTGATAATGATGGTGATGGTCAGGATGGTGGTGGTGAAAATGGTGGTGGTGATGATGATGGTGATGGTGAGGATGGTGATAGTGAAGGTGGTGATGATACTGATAGTTATGGTGGGGATGCTGCTGCTGATGCTGGTGAGAATGGTGAGGGTGAGACTGATGATGATAATGAGGATAGTGATGGTGAGTATGGGGATGGTGATGGTACACCCCTTGATCTGGCAATTCGACATCTAAGAATTGTTCATTTCTTCTAGGATTTTTTTTTTTTTGAGTCAAGACTTCCCTATGTTGCCCAGGCTGGCCACGAACTACTGGCCACGAGTGATCCTCCCACTTTGGCCTCCTGAGTAGCTGTGATTACTGGCATGAACCATGGTGCCTGGCTTTACCCTAGGAATTTATACTGAGGAAATAATCAGACAAGTGTGCCAAGTGATACTTAGAGAAGGATATTTATTGTTGCATTGATGATAGTAGGTAAGATGTGGGAAGAATGTAAATGTCCAGCAATAAGAGATTGGCTAAATAATTGTGCTACAGCTAGGCAAGGGGATGGCTTATGGCCATTCAGAACACACTCCCTCCTGATTGAGTCAAATCTCCTGTCCCTGCTCTCACACACCACACACCTCCCACCTTTTCAGCACAAATTACAGTCGTAATTTTCCATTTCTTTGTGAACCTCTTTGATGAGTTTCTGTATCCCTCATTAGATGCTAAGCTCCATGGAGGCAAGGAGTATACTATGTTCATTATTGTGTCCTCCATGACAAGTTAAGTTCCTGGAACACAGTACACTCTCAATAATTTGTTGTTAAATGAATGACTGAATCTATATTTCTCAGTATGGAATCCTGTTTGAAATATGCAATGAAGAGAAAGAGCAGATTATAAAACAGCATGCATACTGTAGTACACACTGCAAATTCCCTCCTTTCTTGATCTTCTTTGGGGGACCACATGTGCACTCTCAGTCAATAAATTATGATTGATCCAAAGTCAATCATGACATTGCTATTCTCTACTGCTAGGGATGGTCATGAGATCAGGTTCTGGCCAATCTAAACACAGATTTCCAGACCTAAAGAGAAATCCTCTGGGGGTCACCTCTGAAGTTCTTGCTTTTCTAATAAGAATACGGAAGTGACTGCTTTTGCTGGCCTTGTAAACTCATGTAGTGGTTGGAGCTGCAGTAACCGTCTTACAGCCATGAGCTAAATTCCAATAGACTCACAAAGATGCTGGGCCTAAAATTGTTGAACCAGTGAACCATAGCCAGGAACCATAGATATTCTAACTACGTAAGAAAAATGAACCTGTCTTTGTTTAAGTGACTGAACTTTCAGATTAATGCACTCTCAACAGATACAGAGCATGATCCCATATATACCTGTATGTGCAAATATGAATAGAAAAATAATTAAAGTGATTATCTCTGTCTGGTAGGATTCTCCTTCATATTTTTTTATTTTATAAAGTTTTCCCAAAGGGCATGTAAATAATAATCAGACAAATATTTCTGTACATTCAGAAAATAAAAAATGGTACTAATTTTATTTTTAAAAAATAAAATATTGGGGCCCCAGAAGGTAGTTCACTACCATATGATAAGTTAATTAGCCACGACCGAGATGAACACTTGTGGGTATCCTGGAGGACAGGTTCGGCAGCAGTGGGAGGTCCCCTCCAGAACAGTATGTGGTTCCAAACTCCTGAGGGAGGCGGGACAGACCCCAAGGAAGTAGATGAGAACCTGAGTGAGGCTCTGTGGGGAGAGAGGATGTTCCTCAGCCCTCATGAGGACATGTCAGTTTTACTTGAGATTAGGCCCTGGCCTTGGCTGGGCAGCCTGCCAGGTAGGTTCTCAGCAGCATGGGGTGATAACAGGAGGAGGGGAAGGCTGGCAAGCTGGGATAGCTCTGGGGTCTTCAGGTGGGGCTGTCTCGGGTAGCAACTGTGTTGGCTGTAAACACAGATTTCCAGGAAGCAGAGCGTTGCAATCTCTTCCACCACAAACCTGGACCATCAGGGATGTTTCCATAGCAGCATCTATGCTGGTGAGGAATCTGGGCATGATCTGTGATCCCCTCTCCCACTTTTTCTTTTCTCTTAGAGTGGGACAGAGCAGCCTGGAGCAGCTAGTGTCCTGTAGTGACTCCAGTTTGCTGCTCTCTTCCTTATCTTCTTCCTCCTGCCTTCTGTCTGCTCTGCATCCTTCACCTTCTACATCAGGAAGCTCAAGTCACCGGGCTGAGCCTGGGCTTCTCATTTAAATCACGGAGTGCCAGTCAATGCCTCCCTTCCTCTTCCCAGGGAGCAACTTCAGTCTTCACTGCCTGCAGTGGGGAGCTAGACCCTGCTCCTTATTCCCTGTGGGACCATCCGCAGCCTGTTTCCTCACCCCTGTAATGGGACAGCAGTCCTCCCTGCCCACCTGGCAGTGCTAATTCCAGGCCGGGGGCCCTCCTGAGAAAATCACTAGTGTGGGTGACACGGTGGGTTTTTGTGTGTGTGGAGGGGTGGGGCTGCCACCTGGCCATTTACAGACCCCATCCTTCCTCTCTCCCTGTGCTTGTCACATGTCAGGAGTCCCTCTCCTTTGCGCCATGGTACATAAGACATTTTCAGATCCATCATCTCATTGAGCCTTGCATCTCCTTGGTGAAATTGGAGTTATTGTCACCATTTTACTGATGAGTAAAATGAGGCTCAGAAAGGGGAACATCGTTGCCAGGGTTCCGCCGTGGACTTATAGCGGAGCTGGGATTATGATGCATGTTCTGGATTCCTGGCGGGGTCCTGGCCCATCTGCAGCTAAGGCCTTTCTTTCTGCTCCCATGAGGTCCGTTTTCCATTCCTTTCCTCCCCATGACAGCCACTCTCACCACCACTCAGGGTCTGTGCTCACTGTCACACCACCCCTCGCTGAGCCCTGCGTCTGGGCTGGAACCCACCATGTCCATCAGACGGATTTTCCTCAATGGTGGTTGGGCTCCAAATCCACTCTCCCCAGACTGACACAAATTGCACTACAGGGGGCTGCAACTGTAGGCGTTTCTGGTCTAGAGAGAGAGAGATAGTCCCATAGAAATGTCAACATCAGTTGGTGAAGAAAAGAATGGAAACACAGGAGAAAGTTCAGGGAGTGATGTCAGGAGGAGGTGGCCCTTGAGTTGGGTCTTGAGGGATGTGTAAGAGTTACCAGGCAAGGAAAACTGGGAAGGGCATTCCAGGAGGAAAGAGCAGCATTCTCCAAGGCTCAGACTGGTCTGGTGGCTACAAGGTAGAGCTGGGTGACCTGGACCCCTTGAAACAGTGCTCCCTTTTCAGGAGGAAATCTGCAGCTCCCATACTTTGGGCTGTCTCAGAGTCCCCCAGAGATCTTGGGAAATTCCTGGGTCCTGTTCCCAGGGATTCTGGTTCAGGCAGAGGAATCTGCGCTTCTCACAGGCAGGGGCTGTGACCTCACCCCACAGTTCTGATGCAGTTGGTCCCTGGATCACTCTTGGAGAAATACAAACAGGACTGAGAGGCTTTGACCCAAGGACTGTGCAGGGGGTGGGATGGGGATAGATGTGGAATGGGCCAGAGGAATAGTGGTTGGAGCTATACCCTCCTGGACCACCTTGTCTAAAATGTGGCTCTCCCATCCCCCTTTCCTACTGATACATTCTATCCTCCACTTTTCCTTTATTTTATTTTATTTTATTTTATTTTTTGTAGATACAGGGTCTCACTATGTTACCCAGACTGGTCTCAAATTCCTGACCTCAACCATCCTCGCATCTCGGCCTCCCAAAGCACTAGGATTACAGGCATGAAGCACCATCCTCTCATCACCAACTCACATGCTGAACATTTGACTAGTTTATTTATTACCTGTTTCACTCTACTGGCATGAGGGCTACATGAGGAAAGGGACTTTGTCTATGTCATTCACTGCTGTAGCCAAGTGTCTACAATGTGTAAGGCCATGGAAGCTGTTTCTGTTTTGGTTTGTAATTTTAATTTTGGGAAGCAGAAGATATCTGAGTGGACTCAGTGGCTGACAGGAAAAGGGAGAACAGTCTTGGTGTGCACAAGAGTGACAGGGAGATCTAGACAGAGAGACGTCAGAGGACAGTTCCTGGAAGGGGCTGATGGAAAGGTGGGGCAACTGGGGAAGGTCTCTCTGGACATCAATTCCTTTGAAGCTGGCAGGGAGGGAGGAAGTGCATGGGTGGAGAGGAATGCTTGAAGAAGACCTCCTTGGCTTCCATATTCTTCATGAAGTGACAGGTGAGGGGCTTCCTGGGAAGAGAGGGCAGGAGGGGAGCAAATGTAGGCTGGTGATGGTGGGCCTGCAGCAGTGCCCCAGGGTGAAGGGGTGAATGTATTACTGAGGCTGGATCCTGGTCATGACCCTTGCCTTGGCTTCAAGACTCATTAAAAACCAGCCTCCTCCAGTGAGCTTAGATCATGACACTGCACTCCAGCCTGGAGACAGAGTGAGACTCCATCTCAAAAACAAAAACAAAAAAACAGCCTCCATTCCCAATGTGCCCAGCTGGACCATGCGCTGCTTCCTGGATGTGCCACCAACACAACTGGAACACAAATCCTGAGTCACTGCCTCTAGAAAGCCTGCCTGGATTCAGTGCCCATCTGACTGGGCTCCTGCAGCACCTGGTCTGCCACTACTATGTGACTTACCTCTGCCTGCCTCTTATCACAGGTGCCTGTGTTTTTACCTGCCTCAGTGAGGGCTGTTGAGGACCTGGCCAGGCTGATCCATCTTAGGGGCTACAGTAGGTGGCAGCAATGGCTGGACTGTGTCAGGGCTGGACAATAAGCAAGCCAGGTTCTCATGCTGGGCACTGGGTGCCCTTTGTGGGCTCAAGTGGGCATCACCACTGCTTCTGAGTGGCCAGAAGATTCCTGGGAGAGGCCTGGTTATCTTGGGCTGACCCTCACTCCCCAGTTCCATCCTCCCTCCCTCCCTTGCTGAAACCCTTTTGCATGTCCTCAACATCCTGCTCCAGCACCAGCAGCCCCCTGGTTTTCAGCAGCCTCAGGGAACTCTTCCTTTTCTTCCTTGCTGTGAGTAACAGGCCCAATCCCCTGAGGACACTGCTGCCTTGCGGTCCTCTGCTGCAGCCCTTCCCTGGACCTGAGCAGGATAGGTCCTCCTTGCTTCTCATTGCCTCCCTCTTTCAGCTCATCATCCTGCTCTCCCATAAAAATACATTCATGTGCCATGAAATGATGTTTCCATCAACCCAGATCGCATGTGCAGTGGTGGATCCATGAAACTATAATGGAGCCGAAAGACACCTACTGCCTAGCCCAGTGACATAACAATTGTAACGTTATGGCACAGTTACTTTAAAAATATATTTATTAAAAAAGATTTATAATTCTATAGAAAAAGAAATATATGTCTTGTAGTGTAGCCTAAGTGTCCAGTGTTTATAAAATCTACAGTAGTGCACAGTCATGCCCTAGGAATTCATCTTCACTCACCACTCACTGACTCACCCAGAGAAGTTTCCAGCCCTGCACATTCCATTCATGGTAAGTGTCCTAGACCAGTGCACCATGTCTAGGTACCATACTACATTTTTATATAGTGCAATACTATGTTTTTACTGTACTTTTCATGATATGTTTAGATGTGCAAGTACTGACCATTGTGCTACAACTGCCAACAATATTCACTGCAGTAACCTGTGCCCAGGTGTGCAGCCTGAGAGCGGTAGGCTGTGCCATAGAGCCTAGGTGTACAGTAGGTACAATATTGAGGTGTGTGTAAGCACACTCTGTGATGTTCACACAAAGAAAAATTACCCAAGGACACAGTGACACACGAAGGGAATCAATATTGAAGCTCTTGCCCTCAGATTGCACCCAGGGCCACATCCCTATGCATTGAAGACTTAGCTCCCAGTTCATGGGCACTTTTTCCTGCTGAGGTGATTCCAACATGCACATAGAGAGTCCTCCTCATGCTCTGGCTCTTGGTCCCTCCACCCCTAGAGACCTTGTCTCCACCCTCCCTGAGTCACCCACTCCTACCTGTATATTCTTGTCCTTGTCACTGCAGAAACTGTAGCTACTCCAGACCCTCAATTTCAAACACGCTTTTTTTGACCACAACTTTCCTTTTTCCAGCTGCCTCCCAACTCCAAGACACTTCAATGACTCCAAATTTTCACTTTTGTGTCTCACTCTGTTTCTTGCAAATTTCCCCTCCTCCCAGCTGAGACTATATGGTCCAGCCTGTCATCCACCCTCTCTAACACTCTCCACTCTCTTGCCCCACAATTAATTGTGCTCCCAGGGCAAAACTGCACTCTGCTGAAAGCCAGCCACCCGCTCCCTCTGCTCCTGCAGTCAGGTGGCTGAGCACAGCCAGAGAGAAACACACGTGCCTTTTGCTCTCACTTAATCACCAAGCCCAAACCTCCAGTGGGCCCTGGATGATGTCCTACAAACTCACTCATTTCCCGAGTCCATAAGTCTGCCAGACTTCTTTATTTGTTATCTTAATAAAAATATATATAATCTAAGTATTTTATGAATACCAACTGATTTAATTATGATAAAACTCTATGAATCTGTTCTATAATAATCACCATTTCACAGCTGAGGAGATGCTGGCACAGGAAGAGATGAAGTGACTTGCCCTGGAGCCCAGGCACCCAGCTCTGGAAGTGCTGCCCTGTCCCCAAGCAACAGTATCGTGCCTTCTCCTTCCTCCTTAAACCTCTAAAACCTTCCCCAGCCTTCCTTACACCTGCTGCCTTGCTTCCTACTTCAATTTGAAAATAGATGCAATAAAGAGAGAACCTTCCCTGGATCCCACCCCCACATCTCCCCAGCTGCTTGCCTCTGTGCTTCCTTCTCCACCTTCGCTTGTTATTGTAGCTAGAGTGTCTGCACTCATGTTAGGGGTGAATTTTCTCCATCATATCCATAGTTCAACCCTCAGGTTCTTTCCTGAGTGTCCACTTTGCACACTGCCCGGTTCCGCAATGCAGCTCTCCCACCCATCTCACACCCTGCATGCTTATTTATTCATCATCTGTTCTGCTCTACTACAGTGAGAGCTACACAGGGGCAGGGATTCTGGGTATCTTATGCACTGCAGATTCCAACATCTAGAGCAGTACCTGGCACCTAGAAGGTGTTGGTATTTAATGAAGTCAGTCATTTTATATGTCAGGCTCTGGCCTGGTGCTGGGGACACTAGGGTGATTCAGACAGGTCCCTGCTTATACCAAGTTTATAGTCCCATAGGGGAGACAAACACATTACCTGACAAATTTGCAGGCAGCCATTTATATTTTGCATCTAACAAAGCAGCCCTTATTGTACTTGAGAGGAAATGCACTCAAGCCGTTAGCTGTAGCCCCACTTCCCCTACTTCTGGACAGAAAGCCCCAGGCTCCAGCCCTTACATTCCTGGGCTTCCAGGGCTCCCTGGACTTTAGGAAACAGCTAGTAAGGGAGTCAAAGTCCACTTTGACTCAGAGCTGTGGGATGTCAACAAGGTGCTTCCCCTCTCTGGTCCTCAATGTCTTTGTCTATTACAAGAGATGATGGTGCCAGCTCAGCAAGCTCCACCGGGCTGGGGCAAATGGGACAGGGAGGGTGACAATGCTTTGTGGACAGAGAGGAGGAATTCTGAGTGGCTACTGGAAAGGCAGCATGTTTATTTGACAATTTCAAACATGACAGAACTGCGGAACACAGACATCAAGACTCCTCTGTAATTCCATTTGGAGTTTAAAGCTCAGATTTTGTTTTGTTTAAGCAGTGGCAAATGTTATGTATAGATATAGATGTGGGATCATAAAATGTGTTTAAAAGTTATTGATGTGGGACAACTTTGCATATCAATATACAAGCATTTATTTTATTTGTTTTAATAGCTGTGAAATATCCCACTGTATGAAGAGACTAAAATCTGTCCTTCTATTGTGGATATTTGGATTGATGAACCATTGGAACAAATCAGAGAGGCCAATCAAAGCATTTGACAGCCTGGCAGATCAAAGTGAGAGGTTTATTACAGAAGACAGTAATGCTAAAAGGGGAGGAGAGCTAAGTGAATCCACCTGCTGCAATCAGAGTCCAGAATCCCACCAACATAAGATGCAGGAGACAACGCGGCCAAAAGGGCAGAGGCCCCCAGGGCTCCCAGCAGAGCCAGATGCAAACTTGTCATCCCACCCTGTGTGTGGGCTTCCTATGCCCTGGACAGTCTTTCCTGAGGCCGAGGCTGTTTTAAGAGCTTAGAGCACCCATTCTACGGCAGAATTTCTTATGAATGAGGTCCCTGTTCTGTGCTCCTCACCTATCCTGGGTCCTTTTCCCAACTTGACTTTGGGTAGTGGGTGGATATAGGCCCCAGGTAAACACCAGGCCCCAGGTGGACATCAGGGCTCAGGTGGACATACAGGCTCCAGGTGTATATCAGGCCCCAGGTATATACCATTTTCCTGGTACGTATTAGTAACCAAGGGGACACTGGACTCCAGGTGTACATCAGGCTCACAGGTGGACACCCAGGCCCCATATGGACACCAGCCTACAGGTGAGCATCAGGCTGCAGGAGGATACCCAGGCCTTAGGTAGATATCAGGCCCTATAAGGACACCAGGTCTCAGGTGGACATCAGGGCCTAGCTGGGGACTCAGGTTCTAGGAAGACACCCAGGCCTCAAGTAGCATCAGGGCCAAGGCGGATACTAGACTCCACGTGGACATCAGGCCCTAGGTGGACACCTGGGACCCTGGTGACCATCAGGCCCCAGATTAACTGCAGGCCTTCGGTGAACATCTGATCCCAGTTGGATATCAGACCCCAGGAGAACATCAGTCCCCAGGTGGATATCAGCTTCCAAGTTGACATCAGGCCACAAGTGGACACTGGACTTGAAGTGTACGTCAGGCCTCATATGGACACCCAGGCCCCAGGTGTACAGCAGGCTGAGGTAGAAATCAAGGCACAGGTAACACCATCTCCTAGGTGGTTACCTAGGCTTCAGGTAGACATCAGACCCCAGGTGGACACCTGGGTCTCAGGTGGTCATCAGGCCATAGGTGGAAACTCAGGTCCCAGGTGCACATCACGTACCAAGTGGACACCCAGGCCCCAGGTGGACACCAGACTTCAAGTGGACATCAGACCACAGGAGGACACCCAGGCCCCAGATAGATATCAGACTCCAGAGGAACACCCATGCCTCAGGCGGACATCAGGTCCCAGGTTAATTCCAGGCCCCAGATGGAACTCAGGCCCCACCTGGACACAAGTCCCTAGGTAGATACACAGGCCCTGTAGGCCCTGGGGAACATCAGGCCTTAGGTGAAGTTCTAGGCTACAGGTGGACATCTTGCTCCAGTTGGACATCTGGTCCCAAGTGAACATCAGTCTCCAGGTGGACACAATGTCCCAAGTTGGACATCAGGCACCAGGAGGACTTTAGTCCTCTGGTGAACACCAGCTCCCAGGTTGACATCAGGCTACGAGTTGACACCCAGGGCCCAGATGGACATGTGGCCCTAGATGAACACTAGTCCCCAGTCAGCTGGGGCCTGGGTCCACCTGGAGCCTGATGCTTAGCTAGAGACTGGATATCCACCTGAGGCCTAGGTATCTACCCAGGGACTGGTGTCAAAGTGGGGCCTGATATCCACCTGGGGACTAGGTATCCACCTGGGGCTTGATATACACCTCGAGCCAGATGACCTTCCGGAGTCTGATGTCCACCACAGGCCTGGGTGTCCATCTGGGGCCTGGTGTTGATTTGGATTCCAGTGTCTACCTGGAACCTGGGACCATGTAGTCCACTTGGAGCCTGGAGTTTTCACCTGGGGCCTGGTAGACATCTGGCCCCAGTAAACATCAGCGTGGGGCCTCGTTGTCCACTTAGAGCCTGGAGTTTTCACCTAGGGCCTGAAGATCACCTGGGACCCAGGTGTACACCTGGGACATCAGGCTCCAGGTGTACACCCAGGCTCCAGGATACAACAGGCCCCAAGAGAACTCCAGACCATATTAAACATCAAGTGTCCGGTGGATGCCCAGGCCCCATGTGTACACCAGGCCCCCGGTAGACAGTGGACGCCAGCTGAACATCAGCCCCAAGGTTGACACCCATACTACAGGTGGATATGAGGCCCCAGGTGAATACCTATGCTTCAGGTGTGCATCAGTCCCCAGGTGAACATAAGGCCACAGATAGACATCAGGCCTCAGGTGCACATCTGGCTCCAGGTAAACATCAGGCCTTAGGTGGATACCCACTCCCCAGGTGGACATCAGAGACCAGGTTGACACAAAAAAATCCCAGTGGGTATCAAGTCCCAGTGGACGTCCAGGCTCCAGGTAAACACCCCAGCCCCACTGTAACTGTAACCACCATAACGAGAAGTGGTAGGTCTAAGTACCATCATGCTCCTTGCTCACAAAAGGATGCTTAGCTATTTTATTCAAAATACAACTCCATTCATCACTCTGAGCAGCGATGTGTAGAAAGGAAGAGAAAAATAAACCAGGCTTCAAGGAATCCATCCAAAATGAGGTAGATATTATAAGGGACAGAAATCCCCAAATGAAATGTTATAGTTGACATAGAATAGTCTTTAAAACCCATTAATTTTCTCACACATTTGATACAAAGCATTATTTCCAGAGACTGAACCTAGAAAGAATTGCTTAAGACTAGGAGTCTTGTTCCAGCCTAGATCCCACACTGTTGAACATCTATACTTAGTACATCACATTATACATAGCACTGATATGATCTGTGTGCATTTAATTTCCTAATACTTGTTCATCTCTGGCATAGTTTATATATATATGTGTGTGTGTGTGTGTGTATATATATATCATATGTAACATACGTGCATACAAGTACACACATACACACAAAAGGTATATAAGGGTAGGATAGTATAATTGTGCAGTAACGTTTCTTGTGAAAGTGGTGGAAAGTGGATTGCGTTGGCGACATGCTGGAATGTGCTTCCATTGGCAGAAGTAAGGCTTTCAAAACTAGTCGTTTTCATTTTTCTCTAGCAACTGGGAATATTAATAATTGAAGATGTGTTGGTATAAAACTAATCATAATCACAATGAAGTGGTTTTAATAATTATAAGATATAATAGACATTACAGATATTATAAGATGTCAAGAAAAAGAAGATGCTATAAAACCTTTGAGATGATTGACACGTTAAATGCGGCCTCCTGTGCCTCCCTGGGGCGCCACTCTCGCTGGGTTCTTGGCGGAGCTCACTGTACTCCACCTGCTCGGCCCAGGCTCCTGCGCCCCCGGAGTCACGCCATGGGAGCGAGGACCTTGCCGCGGCCCTAGACAAGGACAATGAGGAGGGGGTGCACGTGGAATCCCCACGGATAGGCCGGACGCCGGGCAGGAGCCTTTGCAGGGGTGCACAGCCTCCTCTGGAAGCCCTGGTCGCTGCCTGGTGCCTGCTGCGCCCTGCGAGCTCCGCAGCGGTGGAGCCAGGCCTGAACTGCCTGCTCTTGGCCCCGCCTGCGGCCCTCTGCCCTTTGTCTTGCCCGTGGGGCCCGGGGCCTCAAGCTGGCCCGGGGTTCCTGAAGTTAGCTGACGATGGGCTGGCCTCTGGGGCTGGGTCGTGGGCCTTGTGCACTGGCCGCCACGTCACCAGCGCCAGGCCTACCCGCGGTGCTGCTGGAGACGCGGGATGCCCGGGCTCGGGCTCTGCTGGATCCCCTGGCGCTGCGAACCCCGTCACCTTCCATCGCGGCCGGCCACCATGCTGCGCGCTGGTCAGCCGCCTTCCTGGGACCCCTCCGGCCCCAAGGAGGCATCACTCACAGCCGCTTGCGACACCGGGGCCGCCTGAACCTCAGCCAGGGCTGCGCCACGCAAGTGGCTCCAGCCAGCCAGCCCTGGCCCATGAGCAGGACGTTCCGATCCTAGAGATGATCGCCCTCGGCAGTGATACACGGCTATGGAGGAGGCAGCGGATACCTTCTAAAGTTTGTAGACACTCTACTGCCACACCAAAAGTTTCACCATCAGCTGCGATGCCGACTGGGGCTCAGAGACCCCTCTGGGATGTGGACCAGGCAGTGCCTTTGCTGGGCATGGCAGTGCTGACCACCCGAAGTGCGGACCTTCACTTCGTGTTCCTCATACTCCACGTTCCACATCCAAAGTTCTCTACCATTTCTAAGCAGGAGAAATCAAAAGAAACTGAAATCAGAAAGAAAGAGAGAGAGAGAGAGAAAGCCATGAGCAAAAATAAAAAAAAGAGCAAAACCTTCTGGAAAGCATAAAACGCCTCAAAGCCAAAAACTAATTCTTATATCTTTTAAACCTTCTGCACTTCTCCAATGATGAATGATTTATTTTTTTTAACACTGGCAATTCGTAATTATTAACTTCTCTGTCATTAATGACTAGAAATTGAATCACATGTGGGAGTTTAATTTGTATTATATGAAGCTTTTCATATTTTAAAAAATAATCGTTCAGTTTTTCTCCGTGGATTAACAATTAATGGAAAATTTTCAACATTGCTGTGTTAATGTCTCCTGAGATAATTAGATGTGAATAATCTTTTATAAACAGAATTTCCTGGGTGGAATTTCTCATCTTCAGGAGCTCGATAAATAACCATGTCCCAAGAGAACTGTGAATTTGGGAACTGCAAGAACTGAGTCTCAACTTGTCCAGCCTGGAAGCTCTTGGGTGAATCACTCTTGCAGGTGACTTCACTGCCTTCTGTTGAAGGGCCAGTGAGAGCCTGGGGGTTTCAACATGCAAGAGCCTTACCATTTTAGGGTTAACATTCACAATGAGGAAAAGACATACTTTTTTGATATTCTCCGTATGTAATAAAATAGTTACCAAAACAAAGCAAAGTGTGAGTGGTGACTATTGAGAGGACCCTTTTTATCTTTGCTGGATTCCCAGAGATTTCTGGGTTTCTTTTGGAGTCAATAGTATTTCCATGTTAATTCTGAGCTCTTAAATCCCACAATATGAGTTGCAGCCAGTGACTAGAGTTGCAGCCAGTGACTAGAGTTGCAGCCAGTGACTAGTGTTGCAGCTTGTTAAACTGATCACTAGCGGTAGAGCCTTTTCATTCTGTTCACTTCTTAAAAGGTCAGCTTGGTCAGATATCAGTGCTACCCTGCCAGAAATAAGCGGTTAGGAATCAAGTAAAGGAGTCAGCTAAAAGTGTAATTACTAAGTAGTGAGGTCACAGCTCGATGGTAGTTGATCTCATTTTCTCTCTGCTGCTGATTTCAAGGCTTTATACCGTGTTTTGATATAACAGAATGTATACTATGAAGGACAAATAGTCTGTTAGCTTCTTGGAGCTATACTCCATTACTGGAGCAGGGGACAACAATTTGAAGGACATTACTACTTAGACAGTTTAATCTGCCTTTGGCTAGAATAAACTTCAAGTTCCAAGGGCTGGGTTCAGTTGTTATGCAAATTTAGATTGTTGTGGTAAAATTTCCAAAACAAAAAGGATAGGACTCTTTAGATGAAATAAGAATTTAACTGTATTTGAACCCTGTTGAAGGCCAGACAAGTTTAGGCAAAATCCCATGACTGAATACTCTTTGATGAGTCCCTTTAAATTCCAACATATAATCTATGTTGGTAAATATGATACGTGCACTGGAAAAGGATGTGTATTCAGTAGTTGTTGAGTGTCGCGTTCTGTATATGTCAGTTTATGTCAAGTTCGTTCATTGTGTTCATCAAATCTCCCTTTCTCTTATGGATTTTTTCTGTTGGTTCCATCGGTAACTGAAAGGTATGTTAAAATCTATATTGTAATTAGTCCATTTTTCTTTTAGTTATATCAGTTTCTGTAGTAAATAATTTGAAGGGATATTTTATATTTATACATATTTAACATTGGCATACTTTTCTAGTGACTCACATTGTAAAATCTCTTTTATCTTAGCAATATTTCTTGGCTTAAGACTAAACTGTCAATAATAACATAGCAACACGAGCTTTGTGCTGATTAGTGTTTTCAGACATGTTTTCCACTGTTTTACTTCCAAATGTCTAGATTCTTGTATTCAGATAAATTAATTAAAACATAAAAAATAAATATAATATAAAACATTAAAAAGTAAATATTCTAAAAATCCAGCCAGAGATGTTTCACTTTTAATTGAAGTGTTTAGGACCACTACTCTCACACTGTGTGCTAAGGTGCCCTGAGATGCTGTGTTTAACTGACGGGCACCAGTGGATAGTGTGTGAGTATGTGTATGTGTGCGTTTGTATCTGAGATGGGGGTCTCACTCTGTCCCCCAGGCTGAAGTGGAGTGTGAGGTCTAGGCTCACTGCAGCCTCTGCCTCCCTGAGTAGCTGGGACAACAGGCGTGCACCACCATTCCTGGCTAAGTTTTGTAATTTTAGTAGAGATGGGGTTTTGCCATGTTGCCCAGGCTGTATATTTTTGAGGGAAACAAAGCAACATTTGCTGGAGACCTTAAGAACTACTAGCCTGAGGCAGTTCATAGTTTCAAAAGTACTTAGTTAGAAGTGCATTTCTTTACCTTTAGGGTGGGTGTTGTTAATTACCACGAAGAAAGCAAGTATTGTACTAAAGTCAGTGTGGAATAAGAATAAGGTCCAGTGGTTGAGATCCAGTCCGATTTTAAGATTTGAAAAGTTGTGCTGTGTGCCCAACAGGCACACACATCCCAATAGTAAGTAAATTGTGCTTTTTTAAGAAAGGAACAAAAATACTGTTTCTACTTCCATTGCGTGTTATTTTGTATATGTACTTGCAAATACATCACCAAAATAAAAATAAAGAACATATCCAGCACTCAAAAAAGTTTCCCCTTGCCCTTTTATAATCCCAAACTTTCTGTATCTTCCTACCTTACCACACTCCCTGGCAATCACCAATCTGTCACTATAAAATAGTTTGCCTTGTGTAGACATTTATATAAATGAAGTGTAATATGCACCCTTTTTTGGAGGGGTCTGGCATTTTTCACACAGCATAATTATTTTGAGATTCAGCTATATTGCAGTCATCAATAGGTCATTAATTTTATGACTGAGTAGTATTCTATTGTGCAGATCGGTCACAACTTATATATCCATTTGCCTGTTGATGGGTTTTTGCATTGCTTCCGGTTTTGGACTTATACAAATACATTTGCAATGAACATTCATGTACATAAGTTCCTATAACTTTGAGTAAATATTAGGAGTGTAATAGTTAACAGGTTTAGGTTTAGTTTTAAGAGACTGTCAAAATGTTTGCCAAAATGGTTGTACCATTTTATATTTTTATCAGCAGTATATAAGAATTCCACACTCTTGCCAACATTTTGTATGGGCCTTCTTTTAAAATTTTAGGCATTTTCATGTGTGTACAATAGTATTTTATTGTGGTTCCATAATGCCTAATAATATCTAGTATCTATGTACTTACATGCCATCTGTATATATTTGGTAAAGTGTATGTTCACATTTTTTTGCTTCTCCCTTTTTTGTTTTATTCTTTGCTTATTTTCTCATTATTAAATTTTAACAGTTTCTTTATATACTTTAGATTCAAATCCCTTATTAGATATGAGACTTGCCAGTATTTTCCCCTTGAGTTTTCTTTGTGTTCTCATAACACTATCTTTCAGTTAGCAGATGCTCTCAATTTTGATGGGGTCAAATTTATTAATTGTTGTTTTGCATTTGGTTTTTGGGGCTTCATCTAAGATGTTTTTGATTAATTGAATATTACAAATTTTCTTTATTTTCATCTCAAAGTTCATAGCTTTTAATACTTTATTTTATATTTAAGTCAATGGTCCCATAAGTGACAGAGCTTTAACCCAAGTCACTGTCATGCATAGCTGGACCCAGGGGCTTATATAAAATCATCAAGAAATGTTTTCCTTCTTTCTCTTGACACTTTTCCTTTTGTTTTAGCCTCATTTTTTCCTTCTGAAGATGACTCTCTTCTCTCTTTGTAGCAAGAGATAGTACTAGAAATAACCCACTTTACTTTGTCCTCACATACCACAGTGGTAGAAAAAGCAAGAGTCCTTCCTGATGATTCCAAAAAAATAGTACTGAAACAGTTGCTATGATCCAAGGGTAGAGTCTTTTGCCAGAACTTGGCATCATGATCACCTCTAGGGCTGGGGCTTTTAGGTTGGGTCAGGCCTAGTTGGTGCTCATTGAAATGGTCCCCAAAGAAAAGGGGGGCTCTCAAGAGGAGAGTTGCTGAACACCCCACCAAAAAATAGCCACTGTGTACATACCTACAATTCCTTGCCAGTTTATAAGCAACTGGTTGGGTGGAAAATGACTAGAAATTCAGTTGTCATTAACTTTCCTTTATAATGTCAGTAGAATGAGCCATACATTTCACATGTTGTGGGTTACGTCCATGATAGTCATTTCTGTATATTAGGTATCAATTTGGAGTATCATCTGAAGAAATATATTATTTTGTGATGTTATCCTTAAATTAATATTTTTAGGATAAAGATTTATAGGATGAAAGAAAAGTCTAGGATAGAAATAAAAGAATAGAGAAAATGGGAGCATGGATATACTGCAGAAAATGGCCAAACAGGAAAAGTACTTGTGAGAAGTATTGAAGTACATAATTGATGTCACATAGACCTCCAGGAAATTACAACTACTGGCATAAGAACAAACTATCTGAATAGTCTTTGCTAATACTGAGTCTTTTCTGCTTGCAAAAGTAGTAAGAATGGTAAGGAATTGGGACATTGTTCAGATAGGCCTCAGTGCATTTGTTCATTTACCTGTTGATGGGGTTTGGGGGTATTAATGAAGGATGTTAATAAATAATAATGGGCATGTTAGGTAATCATAATTGATTTGTCCATTTGGTCTGAAGAAAATGTTGCCTACCTTCTTTTTTGTCGAGGGATTCATTTTTAATGTCATGTTGGATTATATGACTTACTAAATGTGTAATTGCCTATTTATGGATTCTGAAGAATTTTATAAAATGTATTTGCCAAACATTTTGAAAGCTTAGAACTTCTCCAAGGAAGAAGTTTTTTAGTGCTTTAGTGCTGCCCTGATAAATATGGTAGCCACAGCCATGTGAATATTGAGCATTTGAAATGTGGCTAGGCTGGAGTGAGATGTGCTGTCAGGGTAAAACACACACCAGATTTTGAAGACTTAGTAGGAAATAAAATTAAACATATCTAATTAATAACTTTTATATTGGTTAGACATTGAAATAATATTTTGTATGTATTTTACATATAAATATACATTCATGTGTATGTGTAATTAATATCTTCATATGAAATACTTCTCAATTACAATTGGAAGAATGATGACTTTGTGGTGGAGAAATCTGGCACAAACTTGATCATGTGCCTCCTGCTGTGATGTCCTAGGAAGACCACAGCATTATTTCTGTGGTTTTCTTGTGAAAGATACATGACCTAAGTCTGGATGTGGAAACACATCAGATGGAAAAAGGTAAACACATCCTTCATAAGTGTGTATGCTCTTTAAAACTCTTAAGTTTATGAAAAATAGGGCAAAACAGAGGAACTGTTTGAAGTTGAAGGAACTTAATAGTCATGACAATTAATGCAATGGGAACTCCTGGATTGGATCCTGGATTACAAAGTTCAAAAAAATGTATTTAGGGCACAGCTGAGAAAATTTGGATCTGTTGATTGGACAGTAGTGTTGGGTGAATGCTGATATCCTGATGTGGATGATTATATTCTGGTTATGAGAACTTTTCCCAGATTCCTCATCGTTTGCCCAGTGGGTTCATGGACAATGTGGCGATGGTAGCAGGAGAAGATGCTACATGTTTCCAATAACATGAATTTCCCTGCAGCAGTGCTGCCTACTGCCCAGATGAGTGCCCTGACTGCCGACAATGAGCAATGCTGAGACCCTGGAAAGAGGAACTACCTTGCCTAGACCAGACAGATTTCTGGTAATGTTGTAATAATATTTTTTCCCTTCCTTCATGGAAGTGGTAAAGAATTGCCCTCACTGGAATAGATGCATTTCCGAATACGGACTCCACTTCATATGCTTCTCATAGCATCAAATTATTTACATTTGCTGAGTTCTTATTCTCTGCTATCATACAATTACTACTGAAGATGGAGCTTATTTTACAAAAAAAGAAGTGATGCGATGGGCTTCAACCCATATTTATTGGTCTTGTGACATCCCACATCACCCAGAGGAATATGACCTCACAAGAATCAGTTATTTCACCAACTGTGAGACCCTGAGGGGCTGGGTTTCTATCCTACAAGATGTGTTAGATGCCCTGACCAAAGATCCCTCCTACCCAGAATGCATGGTTCCATGTAGCAAGGATCATTTTGATGGTGGTGATGATGATGGTGAGGATGGTGATGGTGAAGGTGGAGGTGGTGATAACGATAGTGATAGTTATGGTGAAGATGCTGGTGTTGATGATGGTGAGAATGGCAAGGGTAAGAATGGTGATGGCCATGATGATAGTGTTGGTGATTGTAAGGATGGTGATGGCAATCATGGTGATGATGATAATGGTGCTGACTGGGCTATGAGGTAATGGAGGCAGAAAAGTGGCTGTTTCTAGGAAGTATAGAGCCAGCTGGGAACTGCAAGGCAACCTTAGTGGGGGTGGAAGATGTCGGGCCCCTGCGTCATTTCTAGACATCTGGGGAAATCTCACCCCTCACAGTAGTTCCAGGAAGCCCTCCATCCAGCATTTCCTTCTTGCAATCAGCATGGAGCTTTTGGGGTGCAGAGAAGTGTCTTCTATTCACTGCACTCTGTGGGAAGGGAAAAGGGGGAGTGCTATTTATGAACCCATTATAATACAGTAGGGTCTCATCTAATATATTTTGGGAGAATTTTCAACTGAAAAGAGCAAGCTTCAGAGAAGTCAGGTAACTTTATCTTCAATAGCATCCAGTTGTGATTTATTGAGCAATTACTATGTGCCAGGCAACATGCTGGGTGGTTCCTTATATGTTATCTCATGAAATCCTACAGCAACACAAGGAGACAGGCATAACTACCCCATTATAAAAATTGTGGCAAAATGAACTAAAATTTACTGTCTAACTATGTTTAAATTTACATTTCAGTGGCATTAAATACATTCGCAATGTTGTGCAACCAATTTCCAGAGTGCTTTTCATCTTGTAAAACTACAGTTCTGTAACCCATTTAAAAACAACTCCCCAATCCCCACCCTCCCCAGGACCTGGTAGCCACCATTCTCCTGTCTGTCTCTATGGATTTGACTACTCTAGGTGTCTTGGAAAAGTGGGATAATACAGCATTTGTCTTTTTGGTCTGGCTTATTTTGTTCAGCCTAATGTCCTCGGGTTCATTCTTGACGCAGCACGTGTCGGACTCTCCTTCCTTTTCAAGGCTGAACACTATTCCACTGTATGCATAGACAGCATTTTGTTGATCCGTCCATCCATCCATTGACACTTGGGTTGCTTCCACCTTTTGGTTATTGTGGATGATGCTGCTCTGAACATGGTTTTGCATGTATCTCTTCCAGGTTAGCCCCATTATACAGAAGAGCATAGAGAGATTCTGGGAGGAGGGATGAATGCCTGGGGCCTTTGGTGAGGTCCTGGTGGAGGATCTCCCAGACCTCAAAGGCAGAGCTCCTCTCCTCACCCCACTGCCTTTCTTAGGACCTGCCTCCTGCTCCACCACACAGTGCCCACTCCCTGGTACTAGACTTGCTAAGGCCTCTTGATCCCTGAAAGTTCAGGGACAGGAACTAGCAGGCACAACTACAGTCACTCACTTCTCTGTCCCCTACTGCAGATTCGGTTGCAAACAATATATGACAATGACCTGCTTTCCACTCTTTCACCAGATGTGGATGAGGCACCTACTGCATGCCAGGCATGTGTGGGCACTGGATGGAGACCCCTGGGAAATGAGAAGATGTGAGCTCCTCAAGGCCAGGGGCATCCCTTTCACTTGCTGCTACCCTGTGAGGGATGGAGGGGAACCCTGAAGCATTGGAGAAGTGCATGAGTGACCTAGCTCAGATGATGATATCATAGTAACCCTGTTTATTATCACCTACCATGTGCCAGGCATTGTGCGAAGTACTTTGCACACATTACCGGCTGTAAAGCTCAGAGACAACTGTAGGAGTGAATCTTTTATACCTCCCACTTTACAGTGGAGGAAACTGACGCTCAGAGAGGTAAACCAGTCTTCCCCAGGCCTTGCAGCTAGTATCTGGGATGTGGATCCAGGCGGTCTGACTCAGAGATCCCCTCATCCTTTTAGTTTTTGCCCCTGCAGCCCTCTGGCCTGTCCCCAGGGCCCTGTACCGTTGGCCACCCCCAAGATGACCTGGACATGGGCTTCAGCAAAGGCAGCAACCCCAGCATATCTCCATTTGATAGGGAGGAACCTCAGGCCCACCACAGGAGCCCTGGGTGGGCTGCAGGTGGTGTAGGTGCTGGCTGAACCACAATGCACCCATGTTGGAGGATGCACCCTAGGATTGGCAGCAGCAGGAGGTCTCCCGGCCCAACAACTGGTAGTGGTACCTGAGAACAAAGGAGGAGAAGGATGCTTCGGATACAGGTGTGGAGAAGCCCAAGGAGGAAAAAGAAGATTTGGACTATGGGCTGCTGGATGGCCTCAAGGACCCCCTCCCAGAAAAGGAACTTTGAGACTTATACCAAGGGCTGAGATGAAAGTGCTCCCTCTTTTCTATCCTGGAACTGCTGCAAACTTCAGTGTGACATCACAGCGCCTTGTTTCCCTATTTGTAAAATGGGATTTTATGGGGGTTCCAATGAGACACTGGACCGAGAGCATTTTGAGAATTGTAAAAAATGTACAGTGAGTGAGGGAATAATTATTATCAATGGACCATTGCTCTTCCAATAGTTAGTATTCTTTAGCAAATATTTAAAGGTAAAATATGATTTGTTGAGGAGGTTTGCAGCAGCTGAGGCCCTCAAGAGTCTTTTCTGTCTCCGTTGAAAGCTGGCCTCTGACAGGGACCTTCTTGGTGCTACCCCTGGGCCCCTCATCCTTTGTGCAGGCTTCTCAGGGTTCTTATTTATATTGCATCTTGTGGTTCCCTAGTGGATGGCATGCTGCATCTTCACTCAGAGCTAACTGCATCTCCTCCAGGCCCATGTCCCTTGTGCAGCACCCACTGGTCCCTCACCAGGATTCAAAACCTTCTGTGACTGACCTCTGCTGACCTCCCAACTTTATCCCCCCTCATTCTTTCTGCTCCTCCAGTTCCATGCCTGTGCCCCTCAATCCTGTGGCTCACACTCTCACCCAAGCTGTTCTCCATCAGGATTTCCTTGGCTCCCTTTTCTGGTAGGCAAATTTATTTTCATCCTTCCAAGCCCTGCACAGATGTCCTCTGTGCAGAAAGCTCTCCCTGAGGTCACACAGTCCAGGAACAAGGTAGTTCTTGCTCCTGTGCTCTCTCTGGGTTTTGTGCCTTTATCACTTTGGTGTAACTGCCTGCCTCCTGCTGAAGGGAGGCATTTTGGCTTTACTCACCTCAGTATCTCCTGGGTCCAGCTGGGTGTCTGGCCTGGCCCAGAATTGGCGCTCATCAAGGGTGTATAGAACTCACAAGGACCCAGGAATGTTTTGCAAATAATACCACCCTCCCACACTTCTCCAATGTTTACTTTCTAAGATCCTTTACTCTTTGACATTCAAATTTCTAAATGGCCTGTATGTGTTTACAAAGCCTGGGAAAATGCCTTCAGAGGACAAACAAACCCCACCAGCAGAATGTATTTGCATTGACTAGGATTATGGATGAAATTCAGCTTTCCGGCAAATGAATCATTTGGCATTGGCTAAGTATCTGCTCTGTGCCAGATACTCAGCTGTGATCTCTAGAAAGAGACATGAACTACTGACACAGTACTTGACCCCGAAGAGCTCAGAATCCAGTGAGCTTGATTTCTTGTAAGTTAGAGACAGAGTTCAGAGCAGAAGCTCAGGCAGGAGAAGAGAAGTAAAATGGACACACCAGAGGCAGTGACAGCCACACAGCTGTCTGGGGACACTGAGTGCAGCAACAAATAGCTTAGGCTGCCTTGGCAGCCCACGAAGGTATCACGGTTTCCTATTGCAGCATCTCAGTGATGCTTTTGTTATGCTGATCTCTGCAAAGCCCTCTGTGCCCCAGCCCAGGATGGTGACAGCCATGCTGTGGAGAAAAGGGCAGTGACTAGGACCACAGGCTCAGAGCTTGTACCCTGGACCACCTGGGAATGGGAGCCCTTCACATGTTCTCTGCCTCTGTGTTCAGGTTGGGGGTCCTGGCCAAGGAAAGGAGATGACCCCCATGCTGGGTCAAAAGAACACACTCCCGGGAACAGACTCTCTTTTCTTTCTGGGTAATTTCTGCCTCTGCAGTGAATGGTGTAACCAGACACATCCTCTCTATTGGTATGACACAAAGACAGGCGTTCCTGCTCATGGGCTGAATCCTCAGGTGAGGGGAGGTGTAGTACATTCCTGTGCTCTGCTGACTAAGGCAGGGACACATGTCACCCCATCAGAATGAGTGCCAGACAAATGGCTACAATAAAATCATTTCCAATAATCAAAGGAGTCACCTTCATTCATCTACAAATACTTTTCCTTTTCTTTTTCTTTTTTTTTTTTTTTTTTGAGATGGAGTCTTGCTCTGTCACCTAGGCTGGAGTGCAGTGGCATGATCTTGGCTCACCACAACCTCCGCCTCCTGGGTTCAAGCGATTCTCCTACCTCAGCCTCCTGAGTAGCTGAGACTACAGGCGCCCACCACCACATCTGGCTAATTTTTGTATTTTTCATAGACACAAGGTTTCACTATATTAGCCAGGCTGGTCTTGAGTTCCTGACCTTGTGATCCACCCGACTTGGCCTCCTAAAGTGCTGGGATTACAGGTGTGAGCCACCACACCTGGCCCAAGTTTTTTTCTGTAAAACCACCTATTGCACTCAGGGTAGGGTAAATGATGCATCATGCCTGCTGGCAACTTGGGCCCTATCTGGAAAGTGAGTGCCCACCACCATGGCACAGTGCTGTGCAGTGCCTGTGTGGTGCTGAATCTCAGGAGCAGCCCCTATCCTGTGAACCACAACTACAGGGAACTTAGACGTAAGCAAAGACCTCTGGTGGCCAAGCCTGCCAGAAAGCAGATGCTAACCCTGTCCTGGGGATCTGCAGGGAGGTCGGGCCAGTGGAGAGGTGGCGAGACCAATGTGTGGTCTCCCCAACTCCCGCCCATGCTATGCAATGGGGGCGACCACACACCCGATCTGCCTGGGAGGGTCCTGGTGTGCCCACTGCCTCGCTGAGTTATGAGGGGTGCTGCCTCTCACATCTCACCGGTATCGCATTTGAAGGACAAATTATGTCTTCCCTTCCCCACCCTGTGGACCTCCGTTTCCTCATGTGCAAGTGGGGGATGATATGTTTACATGGTTATGCAGTGGTGGTATCGATGGGATCCATCTGTCAATACCCTGCATCCAGCGACCACCTGGAGCACACCTGCAGTTCGCAAGCTGGGCTTCCTGCTGCAGTGAGGGGAGCAAGCACTGCCTGGAGCCAGGGAGCCTCTCTGAAGGAGGTGTTGGAAAGGACTTGTTCCTGAATTTGGGCTTGTATTGGGAGCTTGGGGGAGGGTTGAAAGAAGCCTTTGCTCTAGATTGCTTGCTGACTGTATCATGGTGTGGCTTCATTTCTCAGAGAAGAGCCGTGAAAATATACAAGCATCTTCTCTGGCGTGGATCCACTGCTCTCCTGTGGGACAAAGAGTTCCTCTGGGGCTCTTGTCCTCAGCTGCAGTGTGTTCATCTTGATCCTAGAAAAGAGGCCGCTCAGGATGGGGATGAGATTTCAGTTGCTCCAGGAGCAACGCATCTCCTCACGTGGGCCAGGCTTTCACACACCCAAAGCGGATCTGCCGCGGCGAAAACGATTGACAGCCGGCCTCATGACCCAGGCAGAGATGGAGAAAGAGGCTCACCAAAGACAGGCCGCCATGCGACAAACCGCTTTGTGGCGCACAGGGCACATTTGGCCAAAGACACACACGCACACGGGCATACACACACAAACCCACAGAGAGAGGGAAAGAAACACACAGAGACTGAGAGACAGAGAGAGGAGAGAATGGGAGAGACACACACACACACACACACTCACACAGAGACACACACACAGAGTCATACAGCAGAGGCATTGAAACACACACCACCGGCAACCCCTGAGGCTGCGGGGTTCTGCTCACGACGAGAACGACCCTCAGGTGAGAGAGCAGCCCAGGGGCACGCAGGCCAACCTGTCCTCGAGATCACGGATGGCGGCACGACTTTTGGGGAGACTCACCCCAACCAACACCATCCGGGCAGGCCTGAGGCTGGGATCCCGTGCTGCTTCCCCCGTCCCCGCCTGGGGTTTCCTCATGGTGGTCGGCCCTTTGCGACTCCTGGCATCTGGAGAAGTTCCCGTCGCCCCCGTGGAGAGGTCAGGCCGGAGCCTCAGAGCCCCAACACACAAGCACTGCCACGGAGGGCTTCTGCTTTGCCAAGCCTCGGGGACTGGTTTCTAAGACAACCGTGGGAACCACTGTGATGGGGGAAGCCGCTCACGCCTCACGCATGCGCATTGGCTGGGCCGACTCGCGCTCCGCTCCTGGCAGTCGGGCTGCATCCCCTTTATTTTTTTTTTTATTTTTTATTTTTTTTTTCATCTTTGCCCTACTGTTTTTATTTTATAAAGTTCTCAAATCAAAATACAAAATGAAACCAGAAAACCCTACAAAGTAAAAATGACAAAATGTGAACATCTGTTTATTCTGGTTGATGGGTTATTACATTATTCTGCTTTTCTATATTTTCTAGACTTTTTATTTTACTTTTTTTTTTTATTGATCATTCTTGGGTGTTTCTCGCAGAGGGGGATTTGGCAGGGTCATAGGACAATAGTGGAGGGAAGGTCAGCAGATAAACAAGTGAACAAAGGTCTCTGGTTTTCCTAGGCAGAGGACCCTGCGGCCTTCCGCAGTGTTTGTGTCCTTGGGTACTTGAGATTAGAGAGTGTGGTGATGACTCTTAACGAGCATGTTGCCTTCAAGCATCTGTTTAACAAAGCACATCTTGCACCACCCTTGACCCATTTAACCCTGAGTGGACACAGCACATGTTTCAGAGAGCACAGGGTTGGGGGTAAGGTCATAGATCAACAGGATCCCAAGGCAGAAGAATTTTTCTTAGTACAGAACAAAATGAAAAGTCTCCCATGTCTACTTCTTTCTACACAGACACAGCAGCCATCCGATTTCTCAATCTTTTCCCCACCTTTCCCCCTTTTCTATTCCACAAAACCGCGATTGTCATCATGGCCCGTTCTCAATGAGCTGTTGGGTAACCTCCCAGACGGGGTTGTGGCCGGACAGAGGGGCTCCTCACTTCCCAGTAGGGGCGGCTGGGCAGAGTCGCCCCTCACCTCCCGGATGGGGTGGCTGGCCGGGCAGGGGCTGACCCCTCACCTCCCTCCCGGACGGGGCAGCTGGCCGGGCGGGTCTGACCCCCCACCTCCCTCCCGGACGGGGTGGCTGCCGGGCGGAGAAGCTCCTCACTTCCCAGACAGGGTGGCTGCCGGGCAGAGGTGCTCCTCACATCCCAGACGGGGCGGTGGAGCAGAGGCACTCCCCACATCTCAGATGATGGGCGGCCGGGCAGAGACACTCCTCACTTCCTAGATGGGATGGCGGCCGGGAAGAGGCGCTCCTCACTTCCTAGACGGGATGGCGCCGGGCAGAGACGCTCCTCACTTTCCAGACTGGGCAGCCAGGCAGAGGGGCTCCTCACATCCCAGATGATGGGCAGCCAGGCAGAGACACTCCTCACTTCCCAGACGGGGTGGCGGCCGGGCAGAGGCTGCAATCTCGGCACTTTGGGAGGCCAAGGCAGGCGGCTGGGAGGTGGTTGTAGCGAGCCGAGATCACGCCACTGCACTCCAGCCTGGGCACCATTGAGCACTGAGTGAACGAGACTCCGTCTGCAATCCTGGCACCTCGGGAGGCCGAGGCTGGCGGATCACTCGTGGCTAGGAGCTGGAGACCAGCCCGGCCAACACAGCGAAACCCCGTCTCCAGCAAAAAAATATGAAAACCAGTCAGGCGTGGCAGCGCGCGCCTGCAATCGCAGGCACTTGGCAGGCTGAGGCAGGAGAATCAGGCAGGGAGGTTGCAGTGAGCCGAGATGGCAGCAGTACAGTCCAGCTTCGGCTCAGCATCAGAGGGAGACCGTGGAAAGAGAGGGAGAGGGAGACCGTGGGGAAAGAGGGAGAGGGAGAGGGAGAGGGAGAGGGAGAGGGCAGGTGTTTTTCATTCATTCCTCTGAAGCACATGGTGTTTTCATTTCTAATTTGTGGAAGAATTTAGTGCAAAACTTGGAGCACAATTATTAGGGCCAATGACAACCCACATATGTGGAATTTTGAGGACTTTTGCAGATTTTATGGATTTGGTGCAGTTCCACAGCAAACTATAAAATTATTATTGCAGACTAAAAGATTGTAAAAGTTAAAACACAAACTATCTGAATTACAGCGCCCAGCAAAACGTGCAAGAAACAGTTAAGTCATCACGCACATCCCTATCATTTGGTATTCTAATGCTTCATTTAGCTAAATATTTTTTATCAGCTTTTTGTCTTAATAATTTCTGGAAATAGGATGATAATTTTGTTTTCACAGTTGGTGATTGTATATGGACAGAAGGTATGAAAGAGGATGAGATTTCTAACTTTCAGATAAAAAGTTTGGCATATTCTATTAGTTCCACCTCATTAATTTTATTACTTATTTTTTTCAGTTCTTATTTTGTTTCATTTTTGAATATGGTATCTGCTGTATGTTGATAATGGTGAGTTAAAAATTTATCAGCTGCAGCCATACATCTGTCTGTTTTTTGTTTTATATATATACACTTTGGGGCTTTTTTATTTGGTATATTAAAGTTTATTCATGTCATATCTTTATTATTAGCTTACCAATTTAACATAATACAATGCTCTTTTAACTCAATAAGAGACTTGAAATACTACATAGCCTGCAATTATATTACCAAATCTGCTTTTCTTTTGTATATATTTAATTAGTTACAATGTACCCAATCCTTAATTTATGCCCCTCTAATCCAGCTTTCAGTTGTTTCTAGGCAGCAACATCTTGTAACATTGTGTTGTTGGATTTTGTTTTAATTCAACTTAAGACACGGTAAACATAGATAGTGGAATTTAAGCCCTTAACACCCAATACCAATTTATTTTGAACTGTTTAAACTCACGATCCTCTACTTCTTTTCCTTGCTTATGGCTTTGTAGAGGCCGGCGTGCAGCACTAAGAGGGTAAGGAACGCAGTGGGAAATCTCTGAGCCCCATTTAGGGTTGTCGCAAATAGAAAGAGGCCAGGTCCTCTTGCTTACTTTGTTGGTGGGGTTCCCTCGCACACTCATGCCTTCTTGAATGCTCATATTCATGCACTTTCACACTCACTTCCTCACGTTCACGCCTCACACAGTAGTGTATATAACATTTTCTGGTTTTACAGTGTTTAAAACTTAGCCTTTAGGGGTGACTGATGCTTTTCTGGGTAAAATGCTGAGCACTGTGAAGGGACTGCATGAGATCAAAAGATCCCCCATCCTGGGAGAAGTTCTGGCTGATTTGGGAGCTGATCCCTGGAGAAGTTCTGGTTGATTTGGGAGCTGATCCTTGGAGAAGTTCTGGTTGATTTGGGAGCTGATCCTGGGAGAAGTTCTGGCTGATTTGGGGGCTGATCCTTGGAGAAGTTCTGGTTGATTTGGGGGCTGAACCTTGGAGAAGTTCTGGTAGATTTGGGAGCTGAACCTTGGAGAAGTTCTGGTTGATTTGGGAGCTGAACCTTGGAGAAGTTTTGGTTGATTTGGGAGCTGATCCTTGGAGAAGTTTTGGTTGATTTGGGGGCTGATCCTTGGAGAAGTTCTGGTTGATTTGGGAGCTGATCCTTGGAGAAGTTCTGGTTGATTTGGGAGCTGATCCTTGGAGAAGTTCTGGTTGACTTGGGGGCTGAACCTTTGAGAAGTTCTGGTTGATTTGGGAGCTGATCCTTGGAGAAGTTCTGGTTGACTTGGGGGCTGAACCTTTGAGAAGTTCTGGTTGATTTGGGAGCTGATCCTTGGAGAAGTTTTGGTTGATTTGGGAGCTGATCCTTGGAGAAGTTCCGGCTGATTTGGGAGCTGATCCTTGGAGAAGTTCTGGCTGATTTGGGAGCTGAACCTTGGAGAAGTTCTGACTGATCCTTCGTGAGCATCATGCACTCCTGGGTTTTATCCTCTGCGCATTAGAGAGGTCAGGCCATGAATGGTCCTAGATCAAGATGAGCACTGAACTTGGTTATTTTCTTCCTGACTTTCATAACCAACAATCAGTGCATTATCATTATCTTCTACTCCATGGATTTAAACATCTTGTTTCTGTATAACAAACCAAACTGTGTACTTTTCACACTACATGTGATTTAAAAATAATGTTCCTAAGTTTTCAGGGGGTGTCTGTTCATCCTCCTGCTGTTCGTAATTATGCCAACAGTAGTAGCTACCACTGATTGCATTTCTTTACTGTTCTGACCCTCACTATGTACCCACAGCACCTTACCCCAGCCCCTGCTTAAGGCACGGGTGTTATTTCTAGTTGATAGATGCGGAACCCGAGGCTCCTGTAGCGAATGAGCATCAGAGCACATATTTAACCCAGCTTTTGGCTCTAGAAGTCCTCGTTCTTTGTTGTTCAAGGAAGGTGCCATCTGGGACACTGTCTTTCATGCACCAGGTTGGAGAATGGCATGAGTTAGGGAATCAGCCTTTTTGGGAAGGCAGAAGCTTGCAGAACCCAGGAGGAGAAAAGCCCAGTGTCCCTCATCCTCTCATCTTTGCCATAGAGAAAACATGAGGACCAAGATGTTTTTCTGACCAGTAGCATGGACTTGCATTCCACTGGGGCCACTCTGACTTTTACAAAGGGCAAGCCTGAAAGCAAACTTGTCGATGTTGAATGAGATTTCCTCAGTACCAAACAGTCTGCATGTGGTGTAGCTGTTTATGAATTGCCTGGGAACAGGAACTGCCCAGAACCTGGGTATCCTGGGACTTGTGGGGAAAAGGGGCTATGAGGATATCAGTGCTACAGGTCGCTTAGTGTCACATGGTCCCTATTTCCAGGGACCCAGTGTTGAGGATTCTCAGTGAGCATGTGTTTCAGGCAAGTCAGAGCGAGCGTCTGGAGCCACTTTGCGACAATCCACTTATTGCTCCTTCTACAATCCAGCACTGTTCTCATGTTGTTTGGTAAATTTTGTTTTTTAATATCTCAGCTGGAGAATGTGTGTTTTGTGGAAGAAATGACCAACTAGTAGAATGCCTTCCATTTGTAATAAAATCCTTGCTGGGTTTGAGTTAATAGGCCTCCAAGGAAGAGCAAGTTAAAATAGAACTGGACAGAGTGCTAAATAAAATACTGTCCAGCATAATCTACTGCCCTCAAGGGAGAGAGCCAAATGACTCAATACGGGTTTTCCATCTTCAATTTCAATAGCCCAATGTCAGGATCAAGCAGCAGAACATGCTGACTACCTCAGTATGCTCCCTGCATTCAAAGTTTCTTTTCCCATGGCCTCTTCTGCTCCTGTGATGCCATCCCCAAGATGCTTAAAGTGCACAGACATGAAAGTCCTTTTACTAGCATTGCAGATCGAGGGGTAGGTAGTGACGTTCTAAAGGAACGAAACAGAATGTGGACCACAGAGAGATCGGCAATTAACACTGCCACCTGTTTTAGTCATTTGTTTGTTTTAATTGGGAGGTTTATATATGGTTATAATCTGTCATTTGTATTAATGTAGCTATCTGTGGGGATGGGGAAAAGAAAGAATAGAATTAGTTATTCATTCATTTATTTATTTATGTATTTATTTTTTAATGATTTTGAGACAGGCCTGGCTCTGTTGCCCAGGCTGGAGTGCAGTGGTGCGATCTCGGCTCACTGCAACCTCCACCTCCTAGGCTCAAGCCATCTTCCCACCTCAGCTTCTTGTGCAGCTGGGACTACAGGTGCATGCCACAACACCAAGCTAATTTTTGTATCTTTTATAGAGATGGGATCTCACTGTGTTGCATAGGCTGATCTCGAACTCCTGAGCTTAAGGGATCCACCCGCATTGGCCGAGTACTAGGATTACAGGCATGAGCCACCGTGCCCAGCCTTGAAGTTTTTTAGTTCAATGATCTTGGCATTTTCAAGATTTGCTATGTAATGACTGCTCCATACCCCTTTCCTATCCATGGGAGTTCAGTTTCAAATGCACTGAGCATTCAAAGTAAGTCATCCTGGAAACAGCATGTCTGGTGATTTCCTAGTTGGGAAAATCTTCTGTTTAGCTGAGAGGGAAATTGCTATGGTTTGAGAAGAGACATTCTATGGTGAAATTTAGGGGAGAAATATATTATCTTTACAGGCGTCCTGGATACAAAACCAAACTGCGCTGCGCTCTACATGAAGAACTAATTTTATTGTGGGGTTTTTTTTTGTTTTTTTTTATTTTCAGAAAGTCTGAGGCTGATATGAATGGAGTAGAGAAAGAGGGAAGGATGGTAGGAAAACACACCTCATTTTCCAGCCAGTGGCCATAGCCAGCCTCATCCCCAAGAAGCCTAAACATTTTATACTTGTGTGAGTCTTCATATGAGCACATTCACTTCACTAGGGCTGCAGCGTCCTGGAGAGATGAATGGTTTCCATTCACAGATGACAACCCTGATGGCCCATACTCAGTGACAGGGATGGTCCACAGCTGACAAACCTGGTGGCCCATACTTGGTGACAGGGATGGTCCACAGCTGACAACACTAGTGGCCTATACTCAGTGATGAGGATGGTCCACAACTGACAACCCTGGTGGTCCATACTCAGTGACAGGGATGGAAGTCCTTCTCCATTTGCCCTTTATTAGAGAGATATATCAGGCTCATTGTGTGGAAGGAAACATTTTCCAATGTACTCCACATGCACTCTGTGATGCTCATTGTCCTCTGACATGTAATTAAACACTGACACTTTTCTCCTAGCTTTCCTAAATGGCTAATGACAGAGGGGTGGTACCAGCTGCCCCAGGGTAAACTACTGAGCAAATCTAAAGGTGTGTCTTCTAGTTCCATCTTCTGTTAGAAAAACCAAATGCTCACAAAATGCAATAACAGTTTAAACCACAACTGCTCTCTCACAATGTTTTTCATCAATCATTATAATTGTTTTTAAAATAAACTTTGTTTTAGGAGATTTGCATATCTACAGAAACATTGTGAACTTAGAGTAGACAGAGTTCACATCCACCCCCGGCTGTGTTTATCATTAACGTCTTACAATATTATATATATTATATTAGTGCATTTATTATTATTCATGTACCAATATTGATATATTTTTATTACTTAAAGCCTATATTTTACTTATATTTATGTGGTTTACACTGAGTGTCCTTTTCTGTTCTGGGATCTCATTCAGGATCCCAAGAAACATTTAGCTGTCAAGTCTCCTGAGGCTCCTCTGGCTGAGGCAGTTCCTGGGACATTTTCTGCTTTGTATGACCTTGCAGGTTTGGAAGAGCACCAATCAGGGGTACAATAGGATGCCCCATACTGAAATCTTTATGTTGTTATTCTCATGATTAGACTGGGGTCATGGCTTTTAGGGAGGAGAACCACAGAGGTAAGGTGCCATCGTCATCACATCATCTGAAGGGTACATACTGTCAACATGACTAATCACTATTTATGGTGACCTTGTTCACCTTGCCAAGGTGGTGTTTGTTAGGTTTTCTCTTTCCATAGTGCACTCTTTAGAAGGAGGCTACTTTGTGCAGCCCACACTTAATGAGTGAGAAGTTTTGCTCCACCTCCTGAGGGTGGAGTATCCAGACAAATTATTTAGAATTCTTATGCATAATTTGTCTCATATCTCCCATTTAAATATTTACTCAATTATCTATTAGTACCAGTATGGACTCATGGATATTTATTTGATACTTTGAGTTAAAATTATATATTATTCTATTTATTTTATTGCTCAAATTTTTCCAGTTCAAAAATTACCCACTACAATATTTATGTAGTGGTACTTTGTTGTCATTTTAAGTTGCAATTCTCTGTTGACAAACAATATTGAGCATTTTTTCATATCCTTATTTGGCATCTGTTTACCTTCTTTGGTGAGGGGTCTGTTCAGGTTTTTTTACATTATTTAACTGGGTTGCTTGTTTTCTTATTGTTGAATTTTAAGAGTTCTTTGTACATTTTAGATACACATTTTTTATCAGATATGCATTTTGAAAATATTTTCTACAAGTCTGTGGCTTGTCTATGATACTTTTAAAAATCTATTTTCACACTCTAATGAGACATATGAAGAGGAAAGAAGTTAGTTAATTATAGGAGACCAATCATGTCTCTACATGGGGGTGTGTGAAGCCTCCTCCCTGGAGGAATCTACTTTTCCTTGGTCTTCCAAATACATTGTTATTTCCAAAACCATATATGAGGAGTATAAAAAAGATATGAGAATATATCAATACTCAAATAAAGAGAAAGTGTACTTAAAAAAAGAATTCTCACAATGACCAGTGAGGTAGATAAAACAGACATACATAAGCGTTCACGTTTATCAGATGCAGAAACTGAAGCCCAGGTAAGCCATATGACCCAGCTAGAGTCACTCAGTCGGCAAGAGATGGAGCCATGACTACACTCTTAGATTCTATCTCCTGGCCCCAAATTCACTTACCTTCATCACACTAGAACCATATCATGTTAGCCAACAGACCATCAATGTGTTTGTTTAAAGTGCTAACTTACTGATAATTCATGCATTTAACAGTGTATTTTTCAGATGCATTTGACCCTTGCTGTGTCAGATAAGTCACTTATTCAAAATGGAATAAGTTAAGATGTAGCATGAGCCTAACCGTGTCTTTGCTTTCTTGGCACTGTAAAGCTACAGTGGATCCTAAGTATTCTATCATCTGATTCTTCCAGACAATTCTTTATTGTACTCAACATTTTAGTGGCAGTAGTCCTTGGAATTTGCTAATCATTTTCCTTAAGAGTTTTGGAGGAAAATATCTGTTACTTAGCCAGCTAGCCAATTAGAAAATTAAAAGTCCCTTTAGATCATAATTTACCAGTCTTGAGACTACTGGCTTTTGGGCTGGATAATTCTTTGGTGTGGTGGGCTCTGATATATTATAAGATGCTTAGCAGCATTCCAGGACTGTCCCTGCTAGATGCCAGTAGTATCCCTCCAGGATGCCACAACCATAAATGTCTCTAGAGATTGACAAGTGTCCCTTGGGGGTTCTATTGGTCCATTTTCACACTGCTGATAAAGATATACCTGAGACTGGGAAGAAAAATAGGTTTAATGGACTCCCAATTCCATGTGGCTTGGGAGGTCTCACAATCATGGCAGAAGGAAACAGACACTTCTTACATGGCAGCAGCAAGAGAGAATGAGAACTGACTGAAAGGGGTTTCCCCTTATAAAACCATCATATCTCGTAAGACTTACTGTCACAAGAGCAGCACAGGAAATACGTGCCCCCATGATTCAGTTACCCCCCACTTGGTCCCTCCCACAACACGGAATTGTGGCAGCTACAATTCAAGATGAGATTTCTGTGGGGACACAGCCAAAACATATCATTCTGTCCCTGGCCCCTCCCAAATCTCATGTCCTCAAATTTCAAAACCAATCATGCCTTCCCAGTAGAACCCCAAATTGTTAACCCATTTCAGCATTAATTCAAAAGTTTACAGTCCAATGTCTCATCTGAGACGAGGCAAGTCCCCTCTGTCTGTGAGCCCATAAAATCAAAAGCAAGTTAATTACTTTCTAGATACAATGTAGGTACATGTATTGGGTAAATACAGCTGTTACAAATGGGAGAAATTGGCCAAAACAAAGGGGCTACAGGCCCCATGCAAGTCCAAAATGCAGCAGGGAAGTCAAATTTTAAAGCTCCAAAATGATATCTTTTGACTCCATGTCTCACATCTGGGTCATGCTGATGCAAGAGATGGGTTCCCGTGGTCTCAGGCAGCTCTGCCCCTGTGGCTTTGGAGGATACTGCCTCCCTCCCAGCTGCTTTCATGGGCTGGTATTGAGTGTCTGTGGCTTTTCCAGGTGCATTGTGCAAGCTGTCAGTGGATCTACCATTCTGGGGTCTGGAGGATGGTGGCTCTCTTCTTACAGCTTCACTAGGCAGCACCCTAGTGGGGAGTCTGTGGGGATCCCCACCCTACATTTCTCTTCTTCACTGCCCTGGTAGAGGTTCTCCATGAGGGCCCCACTGCTGCAGCAAACTTTTGCCTGGACATCCAGATGTTTCCATAATATCTTCTGAAAAACTAGGCAGAGGTTCCCAAACCTCAATTCTTGACTCCTGTGCACCTGCAGGCTCAACACCACATGGAAGCTGCCAAGGCTTGGAACTTGCACCTTCTGAAGCCATGGCCCAAGCTGTACCTTGGCTCCTTTTAGTCATGGATGGAGCAACTGGAACACAGTCCTTAGACTGCACACAGCAGAGAGACTCTGGTCCCGGCCAATGACACCATTTCTTCCTCCTAGGCCTCTGGGCCTGTGGTGGGAGGAGCTACCACGAAGGTCTCTGACATGCCCTGGAGACATTTTCCCCATTGTCTTGGTGATTAACATTCAGCTCCTCATTAATTATGCAAATTTCTGCAGCCAGCTTGAATTTCTCCTTAGAAAATGGGATTTTATTTTCTATCACATTGTCAGGCTGCAAATTTGTCAAACTTTTATGCTCTGTTTCCCTTTTAAAACTGAACACCTTTAACAGCACCCAAGTCACACCTTGAATGCTTTGCTGTTTAGAAATTTCTTCTGCCAAATACCCTAAATCATCTCTCTCAAATTCAAAGTTCCACAAATCTCTAGGTCAGGGGCAAAATGCTGCCAGTATCTTTGCTAAAATATAGCAAGAGTCACCTTTGCTCCAGTTCCCAACAAATTCCTCCTCTCCATCTGAGACCACCTCAGCCCGGATTTCATTGCCCATATCATTATCAGCATTTTGCTCAAAGCCATTTAAAAAGTCTCTACTAGGGAGTTCCAAATATTCCCACATTTCCTGTCTTCTTCTGAGCCCTCCAAACAGTTTCAACCTATGCCTGTTAGCCAGTTCCAAAGTTGCTTTCACATTTTTTGGTATCTTTTCAGCAATGCCCCAGTCCACTGGTACCAATTTACTGTATTAGTTCATTTTCACACTACTGATAAAGACATACCTGAGACTGGAGAGAAAATAGGTTTAATAAACTCACAGTTCCATGTGGCTAGGGAGGCCTCACAATCATGGTGGAAGGCGAAAAGTACTTCTTACATGGCAGCAGTAAGAGAGAATGGGAACTAAGTGAAAAGGGTTCTCCCTTACAAAACCATTATGTCTCATGAGACTTATTAATTATCATGAGAAGATCATGGGAAAAGCCTTTCCCCATGATTCAATTACCTCCTACTGGATCCCTCCCACAACATGTGGGAATTGTGGAAGCTACAATTCAAGATAAGATTTGCATGGGGGCACAGCCAATCCATATCGGGGCAAAGTCCCCTCTGTCAAGAACCACTACTCTAGTGTTTAAACTGTTTGATGACTAAAGATTGCAGCAGCAGTAGATTATAATATGTTAATTTCAAGAAGCTGTAGACTTTATAAGTATAATTTATTGTTTTGTATTTTTATTACTTTATTTATATCATAATTTGATCAAGCAAAACAAATTTAAATTTTCATTTCAAAATTGATAATAAAATGGAAGGAATAGGATTAAATGACAGGAAGGATAGAAAAGGCAAAATGGAGGTCAACTAAGGCTTAAATTTATTTTTGGCAAAATGAAACAATTTTCTGATTCAAAGAAATGTCCCTCATGGGAACATCTTTTGCCTTTTGTCTTTTCATTATAGAATCATAGAATCTTAGAGCCAGTTGGGCCCACAGAGATTACCAGGTGAGTGCTAGAGAAAGAAGGGTAAAACATTGGTGATAGGTTCATGTTCCTTCTTACTGCAGCCTGTTAGTCTGAGTGCTATAATACATATGACTTAATTATGGAAAATCTATAGTTAATTATAGCATTAATTATAGCATAGAAATAATCTGAAAATTGGCCGGGCGCGGTGGCTCATGCCTGTAATCCCAGCACTTTGGGAGGCCAAGACGGGTGGATCACTAGGTCAGGAGATGGAGACCATCCTGGCTAACACAGTGAAACTCCATCTCTACTAAAAATACAAAAAAAAAAAAAAAATTAGCCGGGCGTTGTGGCGGGTGTCTGTAGTCCCAGCTACTCAGGAGGCTGAGGCAGGAGAAAGGCATGAACCTAGGGGGCAGAGCTTGCAGTAAGCGGAGATCGTGCCACTGCACTCTGGCCTGGGTGAAAGAGCGAGACTCCATCTCAAAAAAAAAAAAAGAAAAGAAAGAATCTGAAAATTATACATAGCAACACATGGAAGTTGATTTGAAAAGTTGTCCGTTTTGAACTAGGACTCCCTGGAGAACTGGCTGACTCAAGGGCTAGGGAAGGGAAAATGCATGATGAACCTGGAGGACCTTGTGTTGCCAGAAAGTAAGGGGTCAGGGAACAGGCCTGACAAAGCAACATGCAGCCAACCTGAAAGAGCTCCCAGTGGCCAAAGCTGGAAAACTTTGAACAACAAAATTAATAAAAATACTACTGAGTTATAACCCAAAGAAAAAAGTAAATATCTGTGAGTTTATACTGATAAAAATAAATGGTTAAATACATAATAACTGAAGAAGTGAAAAAAATCTTCCTTGTGGAAGATTTCCAAATAGTAAACATAAAAGAAAGGAGGGAAATGGAAGACACCACTTGATGTGGTTTGGCTGTGTCCCCACTCAAATCTTGTCTTGAATTGTAGCTCCCATAATCCCCACCTGGCCTGGGAGGTACCCAGTGGGAGGTAATTGAATCATGGCTCTGATTTTTTCCCATGCTGTTCTGGTGATAGTGAATAAATCTCATGAGATCTGATGGTTTATAAAGGGCAGTTCCCCTCCACATGCTCTCTTGCTTACCACCATACAAGATGTGCCTTTGCTCTATCTTTGCCTTCCACCATGATTGTGAGGCCTCCCCAGTCCTGTGGAACTGTGAGTCCATTAAACATCTTTTTCTTTATAAATTACCCAGTCTCCCATATGTCTTTGTTAGCAGTGTAAGAATGGACAAATACACCACTAGAATACCACAGTAATAGTCGCCATAGGAAAGATTCATGGATGACTGCTGAAATTAGTGTCTGAAACATAAGGAAGAAACAGGATATTTGAATAACCTCAAATATCTGTGGCCAAAGATTTATTAATTACTGTACTGAATTTAACATATATCCACAAATTCTTTCATAGTTTTTCCTCCAGCAGGTGGAGTTTAATTTCCCTCCTTATGAAAGTAAGCTGGATTTAGTGCCTTGCTTGTAATAAATAGAGTTTTGGAAAAGTAAAAATAGTGACCCTACAGTGAAAAAATCTGAAAGATTTAGCCTTATCCAAGTGATGGAGGTGAGCATCACCAGTGATAAGTAGTGTTGATGTCAAGCATCCCTGGAAATGATGCAATGAGAAGGACATCACCACTGTGTTACCTTACCCCCAAATCCAGAATGCCAGTGCAATCTAGAGAAAAAATCCGCAATTGAGGAGCATTCTACAAAATACCTGACTAATACTCTTCAAAAGTGTCAAGTTCATGAGTAACAAGGGAAGACAGTGACGCTGTCACGGATTGGCAGAGACTAAGAAGACATAACAGATGAATGCAACGTGGTATTCTGGATTGGATCCTTGAATAGGAAAAGGGCATTATTGGAAAAACTGTCAAAAAGCCAAATAAAGTCCATAGTTTAGTCAATAGTGTAGCAATGTTGATTTCTTAGTTTTGATAAATGTGTCATGGTTATATAACACGCTAAAATTAGGGGAGACTGGGTGGAAGGCTCACTGGAACCCTTTATACTATCCTTACAACTTTTCTATAAATCTTAGTATTTCAAAGTTAAGTAAAAGTGAAAAATTGTGAAGTCCCTTCTTTCTTAAAACAAATCTAGGATGCTTGTTATGTGTTAACAATTCTTGTAAATGCAAATCACTTTGGAGAACAATAAATATTACCCAGAAAAACTGACCACTTTCAATCCCCATGACCTAGCAATTTTATTGATTGTATGTTTTTAAAAATGTGCCTGTGCCCAATATCACTAATTAATAGGGATGCATATCGAAACCGCAACAATGTACCACTTCCCAGCCGTTAGTTTGGCTACTACTAGAAAACAAAAACAAAAACAGATATTTGAACACTTGACACTGCTGGTGGGAATGTAAAATGGTACAGTAACAATGGAAAACAGTTTGGAGGTTCTTCAAGAAATTGAAAATAGATATATCTTGTCATTCAGCGTTTTCACTTCTGGGGATATATCCAAAAGAATTGAAAGTAGGGACCTAAACAAATGTGTGTATACGCATGTCCATAGCAGCATTACTTGCATCAGCTAAAACATGGAAGCAACCCAAAGATCCATCAGTGGAAGAATAGATAAGCAAAATGTGCTACATACATACAATGAAATATTAATCAGCATTAAGAGGCAATGAAATTCTGAGACATACTACAACATGGATAAACCTTGAAGATTTTATGCTAAGTGAAATAAGTCAGTCACAAAATGACAAATATTCTGTGATTCCCCTCATACAATATACTTAGTAAGACTCATGGGGACAGAAAGAAGAATGATGGTTGCCAGGGGCTGGGGGAAGGCAGAATGGAGAGTTATTGTTTGAAAGGTACAGAGGTTTTTTTTTTTTAATTATTATTATTTCAATAGTTTTGAGAAAGCAGGTGGTGTTTGGTTACATGGATAAGTTCTTGAGTGGTGATTATGAGATTTTGGTGCACCCATCACCCAAGCAGTGTACACTGTACCCAATGTACAGCCTTTTGTCCCTTATCACCCACTTCTCCTCAAGTCCCAGAGTCCATTATGTCATTCTTATGCCTTTGTGTCCCCATAGCATAGCTTCCACTTATAAGTCAGAACATACGATGTTTGGTTTTCCATTCCTGAGTTACATCAGTTAGAATAGTGATCTCCAACTCCATCAAGGTTGCTGCAAATACCATTATTTCATTCATTTTTATGGCTGAGTAATGTTCCATGGTATATATATACACCACATTTTCTTTATCCACTATTGATTGATGGGCATTTGGGCTGGCTCCTTATTTTTGCAACTGTTAAACTGTGCTGCTATAAATGTGTGTGCCAGTGTCTTTTTCATATAATGACTTCTTTTCCTCTGGGTAGATACTCACAAGTGGGATTGCTGGATCAAACGGAAGTTCCACTTTTAGTTCTTTAAGGAATTTCCATACTGTTTTTCATAGTGGTTATACTAGCTTATGTTTCTACAAGCAGTGTAAAAGTGTTCCCTTTTCACAACATCCATACCAATGTCTATAATTTTTTGATTTTTAAAATTATGGCCATTTTTGCAGGAGAAAGGTGGTATTGCATTGTGGTTTTTATTTGCATTTCCATGATAATTAGTGATGTTGTGCATTTCTTTATATGTTTGATGGCCATTAGTATATCTTCTTTTGAAAATTGTCTGTTCATGGCCTTAGCTCACTTTTTGATGTGTTTGTTTTTATCTTGTTGATTTGTTTGAGTTTCTTGTAGATTATGAATATTAGTCCTCTATTGGATACATAGTTTGTAGTTTGCGAATCTTTTCTCCCACTCTGTGCATTGTCTGTTTACTATGATGATTATTTCTTTTGATTTGCAGAAGGTTTTTACTTTAATTAAGTTTCATTGGTTTATCTTTGTTTTTGTTGCATTTGCTTTTGAGTTCTTGATCATTAACTTTTTGCCTAGGCCAATGTCTAGAAGAGTTTTTCCAGTGTTATCGTCTAGAATTTTTATGGTTTCAGGTCTTAGATTTAAGTCTTTGATCCATTTTGAGTTGATTTTGTATAAGGTGAGAGATGAGGATTTAGTTTCATTTCTGTACATGTGGCTTGCCAATTATCCCAGCAGCATGTGTTAATAGGGGATCCTTTCTCCATTTTATGTTTTGTTTGCTTTGTGGAAGATCAGTTGATCATAAGTATTTGGCTTTATTTCTGGGTTCTCTATTCTGTTTTATTGGTCTATGTGCTTATTTTTTCATCAGTTCTATGCTGTTTTGGTAGCTATAGCCTTGTAGTATAGCTTGAAGTGAGATAACGTGATGCCTCCAGATTCGTTCTTTTTGCTTATTTAATCTTGCTTTGGCTATATGGGCTCTTTTTTGGTTCCATATGAATTTTAGGATTGTTTTTTCTAGTTCTGTGAAAAATGATGATGGTATTTTGATGGGAATTGCATTGAATTTATAAATTGCTTTCAGAAGAATTATCCTTTTCACAATATTGATTCTACCCAACCACGAGCATAGGATGTGTTTCCATTTGTTTGTGTTGTCTGTGATTTCTTTCAGCAGTGTTTTGTAGTTTTCCTTGCAGAGATTTTTCACATTTTTGTTGGGTATATTCTTAAGTATTTTACTTTTTTGTAGCTGTTGTAAAAGACATTGAGTTCTTTATTTGATTCTAAGCTTGGTCATTGTTGGTGTATAGCAGTGCTACTGATTTGTGTACATTAATTTTGTACCTGAAACTTTACTGAATTCATTTATTAGATCTATGAGCTTTTGGGATGAGTCTTTAGGGTTTTCTAAGTATACCATCATGTCAGTGGCATTAGCAACAGTTTGACTTCCTCATTACTGATTTGGATGCCTTTTGTTTACTTCTCTTGTCTAATTGCTCCAGCTAAGACTTTCAGTACTATGTTGAATACAAGTGGTGAAAGTGGGCATCCTTGTTTTGTTCCACTGATCAGAGAAAATTCTTTGAGCTTTTCCCATTCAGTATGATGTTGGCTGTGGATTTGTCATAAATGACTTTTATTACCTTAAGGTATGTCCCTCTATGCTGTTTTGCTGAGGGTTTTAATCATAAAGGGATGCTGGATTTCATCAAATGCTTTTTCTGCATCTATTGAGGTGATCATATGATTTTTGATTTTACTTCTGTTTATGTGCTGTATCACATTTGTTGACTTGCATATGTTAAACCATCCCTGTATCCCTGTTATAAAACACACTTGATCATGGTGGATTATCTTCTTGATATGCTGTTGAATTGAGTTAGATAGTATTTTGTGGAGGATTTTCACATCTATGTTCATCGGGGATATTGGTTTGTAGTTTTCTTTTTTTTTGTTATATCTTTTCCTGGTTTTGGTATTAGGGTAATGCTGGCTTCATAGAATGATTTAGAGAGGATTCCCTCTTTCTCTATCTTTTGGAATAGTTTCAGTAGGATTGGTACCAATTCTTCTTTGAATGTCTGATAGAATCCAGCTGCTCCTGGACTTGTTGTTGCTGGCAGTTTTTTTTATTGCTGTTTTAACCTTGCTACTTGTTATTGGTCTGTTCAGAGTTTCTATTTTTTTCTGGTTTAATCTAGGAGGATTATGTATTTCCAATAATTTATCCAAATCTTTTAGGTTTTCTAGTTTGTGGACATAAAGGTGTTCATAGTAGCCTTGAATGATCTTTTGTATTTCTGTGGTATTAGTTGTAACATCTCCCATTTCATTTCTAATTGAGTTTACTTGGATCTCCTCTCTTTTTCTCTTGGCTAATCTTGCTAATAGTCTCTCACTTTTGTTTATGCAAAAAGAACTAGCTTTTTGCTTCATTTATCTTTTGTATTGTTTTTGTTTGCTTGTTTCAATTTTATTTAGTTCTACTGTGATCCTGGTTATTTCTTTTTTTCTGCTGGGTTTGGGTTTGGTTTGTTCTGGCTTCTCTAGTTCCTTGAGGTGTGACCTTGGGTTGTTTATTTGTGCTCTTTCAGACTTTTTGATGTAGGCATTCAATGCTATGAACTTTCCTCTTAGCACCACTTTTGCTGTGTCCCAGAGATTTTGATTGGCTGTGTCACTATTATTGTTCAGTTCAAATATATTTTTTAATTTCCATTTTTATTTTATTTAACCCCAGGATCATTCAGTAACAGATTATTCAGTTTCCATGTATTTGTATAGTTTTGATGGTTCCTTTGACAGTTAATTTGTAATTTTATTCCACTGTGGTCTGAGAGAGAGTATTTTACATAATTTCAATTTTCTTAAATTAATTGAGACATGGTTTTTTTTTTTTTTTTTTTTTTTAGATGGAGTCTCACTCTTGTTGCCCAGGCTGGAGTGCAGTGGCATGATCTCAGCTCACTGAAACTTCCTCCTCCCAGGTTCAAGTGATTCTTCTACCTCACCTTCCCTAGTAGCTGGGACTACAGGTGCATGTCACTATGCCCAACTAATTGTTTTTGTATTTTTAGTAGAGACACGGTTTTGCCATGTTAGCCAGGCTGGTCTCAAACTCTTGACCTCAGGTGATCTGTCTGCCTTGGTCTCCCAAAGTGCTAGGATTACAGGTGTGAGCCACCACACCCGGCCGAGACACATTTTGTGGCCTATTATATAGTCTATTTTGGAGAATGTTCCATGTGCTGAGGAGAAGAACATATATTCAGCAGTTGTCGGATAGAATGTTCTGTAAACATCTGTTAAGTCCATTTGTTCTAGGGTGTAGTTTTCCACTGTTTCTTTGTTGACCTGTATTTATGACCTTTCTAGTGGTCAGTGGAGTATTGAAGTGCCCACTATTATAGTGTTGCTGTCTATCTAATTTCTTAGGTCTCATGATAATTGTTCTATAAATTTTGGAGCTCCAGTGTTAGGTGCATATATATTTAGGATTGTGATTTTTTTCCTGTTGGACGAGTTTTTTGATCACTATTTAACTGTTGCTGATTTAAAGTATTTTCTGTCTGATACAAGAATGGATACTTCTACTCACTTTTGGTATCCATTTGTGTGGAATATCTTTTTCCACTTGGTTACCTTAGGTTTAGGTGAAGCCTTATGTGTTAGGTGCATCTCTTAAAGACAGCAGATACTTGATTGGTGGATTTTTATTCATTCTGCCATTCTGTATCTTTTTTTTTTTTTTTTTAAGATGGAGTCTCGCTCGGTCACCAAGCTGGAGTGCAGTGGTGTGATCTTGGCTCACTGCAACCTCCACCTCCCGAGTTCAAGTGATTCTCCTGCTTCAATGTCCCGAGTAGCTGGGACTACTGGCTTGTACCACCGCGCTTAGCTAATTTTTGTGTTTTTAGTAGAGACGAGGTTTCACAATGTTGGCCAGGATGGTCTAGGTCTCTTGATCTCGTGATCTGCCCACCTCTGCCTTCCAAAGTGCTGGGATTACAGGTGTTAGCCACCATTCCCAGCCCTGTATCTCTTAAGTGAAGCATTTAATCCATTTACGTTCAACATTAATATTGAGATGTGAGGTACTGTTCTATTCATCATGCTAGTTGTAGTCTCAATACGTTGTTTTTTAAATTGTGTTATTGTTTTATAGATCCTGTGAGATTTATGCTTTAAAGAGGTTCTATTTTGGTGTATTTTAGGTTTCATTTCAAGATTTAAGACTCCTTTTAGCATTTTTTGCAGTGCTGGCTTGGTAGTAACAAATTCTCTCAACATTTGTTTGTTTGAAAAATACTTTTTCTCTCCTTCATTTATGAAGCTTAGTTTCACTAGATATAAAATTCTTGACTGTTATTGTTTTGTTTAAGGGGGCTAAATATAGGACCCCATCCCTTCTGTCCTGTAGGGTTTCTGCTGAGAAATCTGTTGTCAATCTGATAGCTTTTTCTTTATAGGTTACCTGCTGCTTTTGCCTCACAGCTCTTAAGATTATTTCTTTCATCTTAACTTTAGATAACCTGATGGCTATGTGCATAGGTGATGATCTTTTTGTGATGAATTTTCCAGGTGTTCTTTGAGCTTCTTGTATTTGGATGTCTAGATCTCTAGCAAGGCCAGGGAAGTTTTCCCTGAGTATTCCCTCAAATAAGTTTTCCAAACATTTAGATTTCTTTTCTTCCTCAGGAATGCCAATTATTCTTATGCTTGGTTATTTAACAAAACCCCAAATTTCTTGGAGTCTGTTAATTTTTTAAAATTCTTTTTTCTTTGTCTTTTTTTTTCAGTTAATTTGAAAGCCTTGTCATTGAGCTCTGAAGTTCTTTATTCTACTTGTTTTATTCTATTGTTGAAACTTTTCAGTTTATTTTGTATTTTTCTAAGTGTGTCTTTCATTTCCAGAAATTGTGATTGTCTTTGCTTTATGATACATGTTTCTCTGGAGACTTTTTCATCCATATACTGTATTGTTTTCAAAATTTCTTGAAGTTGGTTTTCACCTTATTCTGGTGCCTCCTTGAATAGCTTAATAACCAACCTTCCAATTTTTTTTTTTTTTTTTTTTTTTTTTGGCAATTCAGAGATTTCTTCTTGGTTTGGATCCACAGCTAGAGAGCTAGTGTGATCTTTTGGGGGTACTATACAACTTGTTTTGTCATATTACCAGAATTACTTTTTTGGTTTCTTTTCATTTGGGTAGACTGTTTCAGTGGAAAGATCTGGACCTCAAGGGCTGCTATTCAGATTCTCTTGTCCCACATGGTGGTGCTCTCTTGATGTGTGCCCTCCCCCTTCCTCTAGGGATAGGACTTCTTGAGAGCCAGATTGCAGTGATTGCTAATGCCCTTCTGGGTCTAGACACCCAGTGGGGCTACTGGGCTCCAGGCTGGTGCTGCAGAATGTCTGCAAAAAGTCCTGTGCTGTGATTTGTCTTCAGGTCTCCCAATTCTGGATAACAGCCCCTGCTCTGGTGGAGGTGGCAGGGGAGTGAAGTGAACTCTGGGATTTTTTGGTTGTTGTAATGTGATGGTTTTCTCAAATGCTGGTTATGCTAGCAGTGAAATTTTCACAGGGACAGACTCAGGACCTCTGGTTAGCCAGGATGTTGCAGGCAATGGAATTAGCTGTTGTTTTCTCCTTCTATGAAGCAGGGTTGTTCTCTTATGAGTTGCTGTAATGGCTTGAGTTGGTTGGCCCCAGCCAGGAGGTGGCACTCTCAAGAGAGCACAAGCTACAGTTGTAGAAGGGGGCTACCACCTTGCCCTATGTTGGCCAGGATAAGTACTCGGGTTTCTCAGGTGATGGGCAGGGACATAGAGCTCCCAAGAGTTTATGTCTTTTGTCTTCGGCTACCAGGGCAGGTAGAGAAAAACTTTCAAAGGGTCTGTGAATTCTTTCAGTCTCCCTAGTATGTCCTTGGAACAGAAGTTCACAATGTGAATCTCCAGACGCTGATCTGTTTGTCTAAATGGGAGCTGCATGTTAGTCCTGTCTCCTCTCTGGTGTTTTTTCTCTCCTACCTGAAAGGTACGGAGTTTCAGTGTGGGATGATGGAAAGTGCTGGAGTGGATATTGGTGATGTCTGCACAACAATGGGAATGAATTTAATGCCACTGAGTTGTACATTTGAAAATCATTGAAATGGCACATTTTAGTTATGTATATCTTACCACAATAAAACATCAGTTAAAAGAATTTTATTTATAGACCAAATATGTCTGTGCTCTATTTATAACTCCTAGTATGTTAGGAATCACCCCAAGTACATGTTCCTAGGATTAATGCTTTCTAAAATAATCCTGTGGTCTGGTACGTATTCTCAAGGAAGGGATTCCTGTTGAACCCAGCTTGAGGAATTCTTTGCTGTCTACTGCTCAGTGTCTGTTGACTGGAACGCTGGAGACGATGCAGCACACATTGGCCCCTGTGGTGCTCACATGATTTCCTTGTGCTTTCCTCGGATGGGATGCAGCATGGGAGTGCCGGGGTGTGGAGTGCAGCGTGTGAGTGCCGGGGTGTGGGGTGCAGCGTGGGAGTGCCGGGGTGTGGGGTGCAGCGTGGGAGTGCCGGGGTGTGGGGTGCAGCGTGGGAGTGCCGGGGTGTGGGGTGCAGCGTGGGAGTGCCGGGGTGTGGGGTGCAGCGTGGGAGTGCCGGGGTGTGGGGTGCAGCGTGGGAGTGCCGGGGTGTGGGGTGCAGCGTGGGAGTGCCGGGGTGTGGGGTGCAGCGTGGGAGTGCCGGGGTGTGGGGTGCAGCGTGTGAGTGCCGGGGTGTGGGGTGCAGCGTGGGAGTGCCGGGGTGTGGGGTGCAGCGTGGGAGTGCCGGGGTGTGGGGTGCAGCGTGGGAGTGCCGGGGTGTGGAGGAGCAGCTGGTGTTTCACGTTGCTGAACTAAAACCTTGGTTGCACTCAGCATTCAGATTCTGGGGACACTGTGGTGACCTGACACAGGGTAGCATAGAGATGGCATTGCCCTCAGCCTGCTAGCAGCAGGAGGGTCGGGGTCCATCCTCAGCATGTGCGGGCTGCCCCTCGTCCGCAGCGGGAATCAAACTGACGCTGCATATCTCTTAACAGTTTCAGATTTTGCCTCGTCCCATGTTTGGATGTGATGATTTGGGTTGGCTCTGGCCACTGGCAATACCCTGAGTTATTAGAAAATGTAAGGAGCTGTTCCTCATCCCTGTTTCCTGTGTCCTTAACCTTTCTCTGTTTTTAGTTTCTCAGCATTCAAGGGCTGAGCCAGTGCTCTTTAGTGAAGGACTTCTACTTTGTGGATATGAACAATTTCTCCCCATTTCTCTTTCCCATCTTGTCTCTAACGTGGAGGGAAGGGAGTGATGTTTGTCCACAGCACCTTCGGCAACTATCATGACATGTTTGCGAGCGTCACCTTCTTGTGCTAGACTCATAGCCATGATGCATGTTTGGCATATTTGGTGCTCAATAAATGACCTCACATAGACACACAGCAACATGTGAAAAGCCAGTAGGAAGGAAGATCGACTGCCTCATACAAGGTCAGCAAACCTTTCTGTAAAGGGACAGAGAGTAAATATTTTTGGCTCTGTGGCCATATGGTCTCTGTCACAAATACTCAACTCTGCCAGTTAGAAAGCAGCCATGGACAAGAGGCAGGTGAACGGGCATGGCTGTTTCAATCATCTTTATTTATAAAAAAAAAAAAAATGTGGGCCAACCTGGCCTTCAACCTGTAGCTTTCCAGCCTAGTATAACCTTTTCTTTAGCTATTCTCTTTTGTTTAGTCTTAGAGTTAATGACTATGTCGAAAAAGTCTTTGAGACCAGGAATAAAATTTAAGGAAAAATATGCTAATCACGTTATTTCCAAATTATAGGTAAAATAAGTACAAATAATAGCAGATTACAGTGGGACTAGTTTAGTGAAAGACTAGAGGACATATAATAGAGGCACATGTAAAAATTATAGATAATAGTGTCAACTTTCATAACTTAAAGTGAAAAATTTCTTTTACCATGTTTACTTTGCAGGCAGAAAAATAACATTAGTAAGGAATAATTGCTATTTCTTTTTGGTTATTTTTCTCTCATTCATATTAACTTTTCCTAAATTTCAAAACTGTTAGGCTCAATATCTCATAATCTGTATGAGGAGAATATTTTTGTATCATCTGCTCTGAAAAACTAAACTGATTATATTCTCTACTAAACACCTGCTCATATCCTGTTAATGTCTCTAAACAGAGGAAGAAATGGTTGCTCTAAACAGGTGACAAAGCCCTGATTTTGCACACGTAAAGATTTCCTTGCTTCCCACATGATGGGCATCTTTCCACTCATGGTAAGCCATCATTGTCTTCTTAGTTTATATTCACTGATTCAGTATTTCCTGAGTACCTGCTATGAGCCAAGCACTGCTCATAAGTTTTCTGTGCTTCAGCAAATCAGTGAGCAAAAGAGACAAAGATCTCCATCCTCAAGCTGCTTGTTTTTCACAGGGAGGGGCAGGTAGTCAACAATAAACACAATAAAGTGGGCAGTACAGAGTGGTAAAAGTGAACAGAGTTATGGAGAACAGTAGGACAGAGTGATGAGAGTGCAGAGCGCTGTGCTGTGTGTGTCTGGGTGGGGGAGGTTTCAGGGTTAAGCAGGGTGATCAGAGCAGTGGGTAGACCCCCTGAAAAGATGAAGCTTGAGACAAAATTTGAAAAAGATAAAGAAATAGATCATGGCTATCTGAGAGAAGAGACTTCCAAATGGAGAGCAGATAGAGCAAGGATCACGAGACAGGTGCTTGCCACTTGCATCCATGGATGAGCATGTAGTCTGGCATGGCTGCAGCAGTGAGGGAGGGTGGAGCTTTCAGAGGGGAGGCTGGACTGGTATTGGGTCCAGACCATGGATGGCCTCAGAGCCCACCAGCTCAGAAGTGGGAAGTGATTGCAGGGTGCTGGGCAGAAGTGTGTCTAAAAGGAAGTCTCAAAGAATGCTTCTGACTGCTGTGCTCAGAGTAGACTGCAGGGGTCAGGGGTAGAAACAGTGGAGTCTGTGAGAGGCTTGTGCAACCTCCCAGTGAAAGATGATGGTGACTCCAACCAGGTTGTAGCATTGGAGGTGGTGAGAAAAGCCAGATTTGGGTAGATCTTGAAAGTAGGACAATCACATTTTCTGAGGGATTGGAGGCAGGGCGTGAGAGAAAGAATGATGCTCAGGATGATGCTCAGGTTTTTGGCCTGTTATATGTTAATAGAAATCCTCTCTATACAGAGATTTAAAAAGAAAATGCTGTTGAAGTGTTATCCAATAACAACTACCCTTATATTTGTATTGTAACTTTATACTGTCAGATGAAAGTGCCAACAGAATGTCTCTTCTGGTCTGAGAAGAATAGCCACGTATAAAACCTGTCTGCAGCTTACTGTTCTCTAGCAGAGGTTGTGCTTTTATGGATAGCTCACTGGCTTGCTTCCTAGCAGAGGCTCCTAGCTAGAGGGAGGACTCTAACTCTCATGGCATGTGCTGCTTAGTCTTGAGACTAAGAATAAGGGTTTGGAGTATAATAATTAGTTCTTGGTTCTGTTCTGCTTGGAAAAAAAACTCAGAAAGCCTCTTGGTACCCACAATGATGAAAATAGTCATTACTAATTGTATTCGTGGGCACCCAAGGCATAAACATGTACAAGGCACTTAATAATAATACCATCATCACATCGATTTTTATGATTCTCGGGCTTACCCTGGGCCACACACTTTGTTGGGAGCTCCACACATTGTCTTTCAACCCCTCACGGCACCTTGAAAGCTATAATCCTTTTGTAACACATGAAGTGTCTGAAATGCAGAAAGGTTACTGGACTTGTTTAAGTCCAAATAGATACTGAAGAGTGGGGCTGGGGCTCCCTTGACTCCAGACTTGCCTGCCTCCAATGTCAGCGTCCTTCTGATTTTCCTGCCTCCAAAACTCAGGGATTTAGATGAATGATGTATTCATAGCATGCTAACTCAACAAACACATTGATTTAGTGTTTTCTACGTGTTAGAAACTGACTTAGCTTGACATTGGAGGATAAAAGATAGATTGATTGGTTGATCAAATGGTTTTTGAATGCTTATTATATGCCAGAGGTGTGCAATACTATAGAAAGATAAAGATGAATGGTCCTTTGTCTTAAGAAGGAACCACCATTTCTTGGATGTCCTGGATGGTGGTGTTTAAATACTATAGGACAAGAAGCAGAAGAAACCTAAATGGGAAGCCTTCTGTTTGAAAACCCTTCCTTATTTAGGCATTTCAAAAATGTATTAATCTAAGAAACTTGGTATCTTTTGAATTGCAAAGTGGACAATCATATTTCAAGAATGATTTGAGGCAGGCTTAGCTTAGGTACAAGTTATTATAATTATTATAATTTGTACATAAGCTAAGTGTATTAGTTCGTTCTCATACTGCTAATAAAGACATACCTGGGACTGGGTAATTTACAAAGGAAGGAGGTTTAATTGGCTCACAGTTCCACATGGCTGAGGAGGCCTCACAATCATGGCAGAAAGTGAAGAGGAAGAAGGACACATCTTACATGGCAGCAGGCAACAGAGAGCTTGTGCAGGGAAATTCCCCTCTATAAAACCATCAGATCTCATGAGACTTATTCACTACCACGGGAACACTATGGGAGGAAATGGCCCCCATGATTCAATTATCTCCACCTGGCCCCACCAGGTGGCTAATGTGCGGGGATTATTACAATTCAAGGTGAGAATTGGGTGGGAACACAGCCAAACCATATCACTAAGCCTACCTCAAACCATTTGTAAAATATTCTTGAAATATAATTAGTTTTCTAATGTACTCTCATTCAAGTTCTTGCTTGCCTCTGAAACTCACCAGTAGATATGTAAGAAATAGTATTCAAATCACGTGAGGCTCTGACCATATCATTTCAAAACACGCTCATCTCTACTTGAGAACATGACTCCAGCGCCATCTCTTCTGAGATCCTTCTTGCTGATTTTACTTAAATTAGATGCCTTCGCATACCTGCCACATCACTTTACACTGTTAGATTTTTACATAGCTTTGTCACTGCCAGAAATTATCACCTACCTGTCTGTTCATTTATTGCTTTGTTTTGACAAAGTGTTTGATTTATGCAATATAACATTTAAGTGAAAAGAGACTCAATGTTCATCAATAGAGTTTAAAATTTCCAATCTATATGACATTATCAATAGCTTTTTTATATTAAAATAAATTTTATATTAAACATACTTGTATTCACAGATGACCCAAATTGTTGGAACTAAAATTTACATTTATATAAACTCATCATTGATCTAAATACAATATGGATATGAATTTATATGTACTTTAATGTCATCAATATTAATGTGAATTTCAAATAAAAATCCATAAAATTGTTAAACATGGAGGAGACAGATATAAAGATATAAATGCTGTCTAGGGGAACAGCATTTCAGATGGAGGAACAGGCAAGGAGAGAAGCTTGGAGTGTGGTGAGGAACAGGCTTGGAGAGAAGCTTGGAGTGTGGTGAGGAACAGGCAAGGAGAGAAGCTTGGAGTGTGGTGAGGAACAGGCAAGGAGAGAAGCTTGGAGTGTGGTGAGGAACAGGCAAGGAGAGAAGCTTGGAGTGTGGTGAGGAACAGGCTTGGAGAGAAGCTTGGAGTGTGGTGAGGAACAGGCAAGGAGAGAAGCTTGGAGTGTGGTGAGGAACAGGCAAGGAGAGAAGCTTGGAGTGTGGTGAGGAACAGGCAAGGAGAGAAGCTTGGAGTGTGGTGAGGAACAGGCAAGGAGAGGAGCTTGGAGTGTGGTGAGGAACAGGCAAGGAGAGAAGCTTGGAGTGTGGTGAGGAACAGGCAAGGAGAGGAGCTTGGATTGTGGTGAGGAATGAAGAGCATTTGAAATACTCACAGAAGGTCAATGTGACGCAGATGCGGTAAGCCAGGCAGAGTGTGGCAGGAGATAAAAATAGAAAGATAAACAAGAGCCAGATAATACAGGGCTTTGTGGAACATAGTAAGGAGTTTGAATTTTATCCAAGAGGAATGGGAAGCTACTGGAAGGCTTAACCAAAGAATGACTTGCTTTTATTTATACCTAAAATAGATTATTGTGTTTCCTCTGTGGAAAAGGGATTATAAGTGGGCAAAAACAGAAACAGTTAAGAAGTCATTACAGTACTTGAGGAAATGGTTCATGAGTTAGACTGGGTGGTGCAATGGTGTGAGAGAGAAGAGGGTGGATTCAGCTGGTGAGCTGATTGTGGGAAGTGAGGGGGAAACAATGGGACTTCTAGACTTTTGGCTGAAGCAACTGGGTGGATAGTTCTATTTTCTTGGATTTAATGTTTTGGATGTGTTAAGTTTCAGAGGCTTATTAGGAATCTATGGCTAGTCAGGACTAGAAAATATAAATTTGGAACTCATGCACTTAGGGATGATAGTATTTGAAAGCATGACCCAACTTAGCTTAAGTAGAGATAGGGAGGATAGAGAGAGAAGGGAGGAGGCCCAGGACAAACATCAGGGTTTAGAAGTCTGGCAGAGAAGCCGAAGCTCTCAGAGAAGACTGAGGAGTAGCCAGAGAAGCAAGGGGATTGACAGGAGAAGGTGGCAGGGAAGCTGATAGAAGGAAATGCCTCAACAAGCATTCTCAGGTCTGTCGGCTGCTGCTGAAAGAAAACGAATCACCATATTCGGCAGAAAGAAAGAAAATGAATCACCATGTTTGGAAACATGAAGGCCACTGGTGGCGATGATAAAAGGAGCTTTATGGGAGTGGTGGGGAAGGACACTGACAAGAATGGGAGGAAGAGAATGAAATTCAAGGGAGTGGAAATGAGGAAAAGAGCTAGAAAGACACTGGCTCAGGGCAGGGTTTCAGAGGGAAGGATATCTTGGAGTTGGTTAGTGTGTTGGTGAGAATTCTCTTGTGTGGATGACATTATGATGGTGCAGAGGAGAGAGCGGAAAACAGCTGAAGCACAAAGCCTTTGTGCCTTGAGAGCTGGTGAGGTCCCGAGTGCTGGGGGAGGTGTTGCCTTGAGACAGGAATGGGAACACCTTGACGTTGCTTCCATCCTCTTGGAAGGTTGGAGTTGGTGGAGGGGAGATGGAATTCCTCTATCTCTTCTCTATAGAGAAGGAAGAAGAAGAAATATTGGAGGCTTCAGCAGCATAAAGAAAGTGTGAAATACTTGGATGTCTTGGATACTGGAGTTTTGTTTAGAAGGGAAGTGTAGCAGAACCTCTGGATGGTGATAAGTATGTGTTTCAGATTTGTGACCTTGAGTTTAGAGTGTGGACAGTCACTATGGCTTTGTGATTTTCTTCAGCTACTGGCTGATGGTGCAGTGAAATAGAATTGTAAATGGGACCTCAAGCTCTCCGGAGGAAATGGGCTCCTGGTGACTAATGGAGACACCCAAATTTAGATAACAGATTCAAGCGGCCATAGGGGGTGGTGAGAGGAGAACCATCTCTTCACAAACATCCTACTTCATGTGCTTTCTGTGACCAGAGCCAAGAAAAACAGTGGCTAGACTCCTCACCTCCACCCCATTGGCCATTTTAAAAGAAAACACCTGACAAAGGCACTTCTAATGTTGGGATGGGAAGCCACCCAGTCAGGGCTTGGCTATCTCAACCCATAAGAACTGAACACACGTGAATCCTACATTTGCATAAACAGACGTGACAGAGAACCTGGGAGAAAACTTTTCCTATTTGATCCATAAACCCTTCCTTTGTTCTTCGGTGCACACACTTTCATTTGTGCTTCCCCAGTCTGCGGGAGTTTTTTTTGTCTTTTTTTTTTTTTTGACTGTTTTATAGAGAACAAAGCTCTTCCTTTTTCCTCTGCAGATTTCATGATCTTTTGTTAACAGCGCTGAGTAGGTGAATAGTTGGTTTGAATAGGTTATTGCTTTGCTGTGTGAATTCAATGGAAACAAAGTTTGTGGTTATAGTTTATCAAATTGAATAACGTGATTATAATGATGGGCCCTGGACCCCAAAGTGGGAAAGTTCAAAGTAAGACCAGGAGGGGATGACAGATAATAAAAACATTTTAAGGTCAATGGATTTGTGGTTTACAATGTTGAAAATGGTTGGAGTAGGCAGCACAGAGTAAGTGAGCTGGAAAGATAAGGCTTAGTAGGAGAATGAGATGTTAACATCAGTCTTTTTAATATTATTATTATTATTTTGAGACAGAGTCTCACTCTGTCGTCCAGGCTGGAGTGCAGGGACATGATCTCAGCTCACTGCAACCTCTGCTTCCCAGGCTCAAGCAATTCTCCTACCTCAGCCTCCCGAGTAGCTGGAACCACAGGCACCTGCCACCACGCCTGGCTAATTTTTTGTATTTTGGGTACAGATGGGGTTTTGCCATGTTGCCCAGGCTGGTCTCTGACTCCTGAGCTCAGACAATCCACCCACCCTAGGGGCTGGGATTACAGTGTGAGCCACTGCACCCAGCCAGTATCAGTCTTATGGGGTGGGGCATTTATTGTTACATGGCAAGGGCTAAGGCGTGATCGTGGGGCTGGGCCTCATGGGATGGTGGAGGAAAGAGTGTCGTGGGAGAGAAAGCTAAGGATTTGAGAGCTCACTGCTCAGTGGATTATCTACGCGCAAGCTGAAGTCACTGAAAATGGTAACAAGAGTAGGTAGAGATGAAGATGGAGCCAGCCGCTGAAGTCCGTGGTGGATGAAGGAAAGAACGTGGGGGGTCTGAAGATGGCAGGGAAACGCAGGTGGTGTAGTCAGATGGCGTGTGCTCCAAAGGAATTGGAGGCTTTTGGAGGAGAAAGAAGGAGATATCGTGTGAATACAGCAGTGGGAGTAAGGGCGTGCTTGCCCCACCTGCAGGCCATGGCTTATGTACAATATGGGAGGAAAAACATTCCTGTGGAGAAGGAGGCTGGGAAAGTCATGCTCGCTGATAGCTAGGGGTGAAGAGAATTTTTAAAGAGGAACTACAGTATGCAAGAGAGGATTTAGGGAGCTGATATATACGAGCAGGATGCAGAGGAAAAGTTTGGGAAAATGGGATAGGGTGAGAAATTATAGAATGCACAGGAAGTGATGGAGAGGAGTTAGAAAATGGTCAAATGACTTTGAAAATCCAATCATTTCAAAGCACATAGCCTTCTGTGCTAAGGAGAAACACACAACTGCTTTGCTAAGTCAGGCATGGCAACATTAACTGTCCTCTGCTGCCCCTTCCCCTGTCTGCCTTAAACTCAGAAGCCCCATTCTCCTGAGCTTTGGTTGGGCATATGGCTGCCTGCTGGAGACTGCATATCCCAGCCTCCCCAGTGAAAAAGCTGGACCATGTATCTAAGTCCCCCAGCAGTGAAAGGCCCTTAAAAGGAGGGATTTGGGGCTCGGTTTCTCTTCTCATAGGATTAAGCATGGGTGTGGTGGGGAGTCAGTATCGACGGCATGGACGATTAGAACATCCCGAGGAAAGCCAGTGCAATGTCAAGGGTATCAGAGCCCTAGATGACTTCATGCAGTGGAGCTGCTTACCTGCCCTGAGCCGCCTGCCTGCTTCTCGAAATTGTGAAAGATCAATCGGGTCTACTTCATTAGGCCCTAAACACTACATCGCATGTCCAGGTTCTGGCTTTGAACGTATTTGAACATATGCTAATAGCCAGTCTCATTACGTCACTTTATAGGATCACATAAATCACCATTTCAGACCCTAGAATATTCCTGGTCGAGGTCAGGACACATTTGAAAATGTGGGAAAGGCTGTATAATAGCCTTCAGGTTTTTATGACTTCTTTACTACCTGAGGGATTAGTCAACAAATTTCGTAATAAATCCACAGATATTTGAATCAACAAAAAGTACTGACAAGTGTCATGTAATTTTCCTCATGTTTTTGAGGGTTACATGGCAGGTGCTGTTTGTATCATGTACTCTTCAGCTCCTTTTTAGGGGAACAGCATGCTAGCATTTCTGCGTTTTGGGGTGAGGCCTGCTGTCGTCACCCTGGTGCGAGCACATGAAGTGAACTGGACACCTAACAGTGTGGTTTTCCTCTCTGTGCCAGCGGCTCGGATTCCCTCCCTCACCTGCAGGCTGAGCAGGTCGGCTTGTCCATCATTCTGCTTTTTAAGTGAATCAGAGGGCAAAAGTTCCCTTTCCCTGGAGCAGTTGAGCCATCTCTTTTGATTCAGTTGTGCAAGTCTCCAGCCTCAGTGAGGGCTGTAAAAGGCAATCATGCAAAGTGTCTGGTTCTTTAAGGGAATGGTATTCGTCAGATTTCTGACTTTTTTGAGATGCTGTTGGTGGAGAAATACTTTCTGATGCTTCAAATGCAACATCTTTTATGCAGTTCAGTAAGAAAAAATCTTCCTCAATCCTCATTTTTACAAACATGTCCATTTGATTTGTTACTTTGCATGGTTACATTATTTTTGTGTAATAATTACTGTGGCTCTTAATAACAAGGTTAATTATCACTAGCAAGTTAATGTGTTCCACCAGGAGCACTTTTTTTTTACCCTGTCTTCCTGTTATGTGGTAGTTTTTCTGTTTCTTCCAGTAGAAGCTTCAGTGAGTCTGCATGCATGCACAATAAAGGGTTGTACGAGCAGTGTTTTGGGCAAGACAGGCCTGGAGAGCTTTGTCCCATGCCAGTGCCATGGGGCCCAATGAAAGCCTGGACTGGGTCTTAATTAAGGACAGAGACATGGAGCACCATCCAAGGGGAAAGAACAAATCTGTTCCTTCACAGCAGATCCTATTTGCAAGTGCCACTCTCTCTGCCTGAAATTCTCTTCTCTCAACTTTCCATCAGTTTCCTGAGAGTTTTCTTTTTTTTTTTAAGAAAAAAAAAAACAACTTCGTTGAGATATAATTCACATTCCATACAACTCACCCACTTAAACTGTATGACTCAATGGTTTTCAATATATTCACAAGTAGGTGCAAACATCACCACAGTCAATTTTAGAACATTTTTATCACCTCCAAAAGAAACCTAGAACTCTTTCCAAATGGCCCCATCTTCTCATCCCCATGGCTAAGAAACCATTTACCTCCTTTCTGTCTCTGTGGACCCCTCCATTCTGGATTTTCATGTGAACGGAATCATAGAGTATGTGGTCTTTTGTGACTGACGTCTTTCACCTACCACGATGTTATTAAGGTTCATGCATGTTGTAGGATGTATTAGTACTTCATTATCTTTTATGGCTGAATGAGGTTTCATTATGCAGATAGACCTTATTTTGCTTATCCATTCAGCTATTGAAAATCTGGCTTTTGTGAACAATGCTGCTATGAACATGGACATGAAAATGCCTCTTCAAGATCCTACTTTCAATTATTTGGAACATATGGGTAAGTTGTCTTTAGTGGCTTCATTAAAAAAGTAAAACACAAACAGGTGGAATTAATTTTAATAATACGTTTTACTTACTTCGATATATCCAAATCTCACGTCAACAAATCATCAATTAAACACGTAATAAGAGAGTTTGCATTCTTTTCCACTCTAAATCTGTGAAATCCAGGACATAGTTTGCACTTGCAGCTGACCTCAGTTGGAACCAGCCCATTTCACGTGGGCAATACCCACAGGTGCCTAGTGGCTACTGTGTTGAACAGGACCCTCTAATCCTCGAGGTGCTGGGATTCAGGAGGAGCTGACTGTGTGGTGATAGCTGCTCCTGAACTTCAGGTTGCATCCTCTTTCTCTCTCTCTCTCACTCCTCGAGAAACTTACAGCAAAAGCTCTTGGCAAAGCTTCCAACCTCATTGTCAGACCCATCTGATTTTATTCAGTGAGAAGGATTATGTGATCTGGCTCTTGATATGATGAGCTAAGTTCGAGTTGTATTTCTTTCAAGAGAATTTTGAGTCTGAAATACAAAAAGTGTCCCAGCAATACACCTATTCTCCCTTGCGCTGAGTCACTTTGGACAATTTAACCTCAAATAATGACAGGGAATTCTTGATACCTTGCTGTTCAACATTTTGTCAGCTCTAATGAGTGTTCAGTTTATAACTAATGACAATGCATCTTATAGGGTGGGCCAGCCCATATGGGTGGGGGTCGATGTGAGAGGGTAATCGTTGTAATTTCAGCACATACTTTAACAGTGGCAGTTGTACATTTTGCATAAAGGCCTGAAGTCATGTGACATCAAGAATATATGAGGAAAACAAAAGCGTCTTCCGATACAAATAATGTAATATGATAGTTATTCATATAATATTGCCCCTTTTCACTTGAGTTGTTTATTTAAAACCGAGTTAGGGAGGGTGTGACAAAATAACAGATGCTCCCATGAATGCTCATCTCTTTAAATCTGGCCTCAGCTGATGTCAGTCAGAGTCTACTAGACTAATGGGGCTGCTGCAAATCTCAGCTTTGCCGCCGGCTTGGGCACGTTTCCTCAGCGTCTCTGGCTCCCCGTATTCTTGTCTTCAACACAATGGGTGGAAGTGTGGTTCAGTGTCTAAGAAAGTCTCCAGCACAGTGTGGGATGGGGACAGGCTCCTGTTTTCCTTTTCTTCTCAGAAGCCCATGAGCTGGTGCACCATCTTGTTCATCTCGACTCACAGGTACAGGTTTGGGATCACAGTGTGCATTATTAGGGACAGAAAGAGAGTGCCACTGAGATAAAGGCAGGAAGAGAGTACCACTGAGATACAGGCAGAAGGCTACCAAGGACATCTTTATATTCTTTTGCAGACCACTGGGGTCACTTGAATTTAGAATTTACCAGGTGCAATTTTGCAAACTATCTTAATTATCTTGACATTATAAAAGCCTGTAATCTTGTACTTCTGACATCTGAGTAATTAGGACTTTGAACACCAGTGCCTTCTAGGTCACAGGCTTGCATTTTTTCCACTGCAGATTGGCTGTCAGCCATTACCACCTTTCTGCTCCAATGGAAACCTTTCTAAATGAGAGCGGGATTGGACAGGATGGCTTTGATTTGAATCGCTGTAAAAACAACTTTCATGTATTGAGCTGCATTGAATTTTTATTTGCGCACTGAACTTTATTTTATATTTTAAAAAGACAAATAACAAGCAATTATATTTGGCAGATAAAAAGAGACATATGAGCGTGATAAATTTGGCTGTGGATCTCTCTGACCTAATCTAATAATCATTTTGGTTTCAAAACCCGAATGATTTCTCAGAGCAGCTTTTTACTTGCTTATACAGCTCAGTTAAGAAGAACACAAATAGTTCCCCAGGCACACCCAAGATACAGAAACATTATAAAACATTGCTTATTAATTGCTTTTTAGGTTAAGAATTATGGTAAGGAAAGATTTTGATTTTTGAGAGACATTAAAGTAAAATGATATTTACCCTTCACATGCTAATTTACCCTTGTAAGTTATGGGACATTTTTATCCATTCTGTAAGTTGTGTGAAGCTTTTGAAACATCTTTAGATAGAAGTTATTTCTTTTCAGTCTATTTTTCTAAGGACCTTTGCTGGCAAATAAGAAAGTTCATTTACCAGGGGATATGTATAAGTATTGAATGTTAAATATTTGTTGGGGAAAGATGAAAATGACATTAATGCATCAATTAACACTTAGTGCAAATATTTTTAACACATTGTTAGACCCTACTTCTGGTTTTCAAAATTGTAACACCATTATGTCATAGGAATAAAATTCTCCTTATAAAATATTTATATACATATAGTACATATTATACGGTGTGATATACATATATATATAGTATATATTATCTGTTATTTTATATATAAATACACAGTATTTTACAGGACTTGTTTTTTCCAGAAGAAAGCAACTTTGTTAGAATTTTATATAAACCTACTTTTTGACTAAAATTTACTTTAAAGAAATGATACAATCCTTTGGGCAAACTATTGAACAAACAAAAATTCCCTTTTCACTTTCCATTGAGTTGATTTAGTTGAAAACATTCAGTTGAAAAAATCAATGTACGTATTTTAGAATACTTTTTTTAGACCAAGCTGAGGATTTAGGGTCTGTTCTTTACTGTGGGGGAGGGAATGAAGCCTCAAAAATGATCTTGTGCAATCGGAAAAGTTGTCAGAAGCCTGTGTGTCCGTGAGAATGAGAAGCAGGTAACCGTAATTGGAGAGGATGCTCAACCAGCTACCATTGCGCTCCGGGGAGCATGTGACCAGTGTTACTGCGGCAGACCAGAGCCTGGGTCACCCCCGGTATACCGACTGTGAGTCAACCACTCCCTTAAAAAAATGGAAGCAGTGCATCAGAGTCATGCAAAATATCTGCTACACCTGCCTGACGGGTCACTGCTGGGCCATGCTCACCCTGCAGTGAGTTCCCTTAGAGGCGGGTTATGGCGAGGGTCCCATCCCTGCCTCCTACTGCTGCTTTAATGCTGCTGGCCTGCCCACTCACCATCACCCAGAATAGCCTAAGATCCCACCCTGGGCACTAAGCTCTGTTTCTCTGTCTTTCACAGATTTCCCTCCCATGTATCGTCATGGTCCAGTGTGTCTTATTTCACTTCCCTGGACCTTCACTGCCTGGGTTAGGATCAGTGCAGTGTCAGAAATACAGACTTTAGGTCGCAGCTCCTACTCGGGTAAGTTACTTAGCCTCTCTGTCTCAGCTCTTTCCTCTCCAAAACAGGTAAATTTATTACCTTGACTCATTAAAACCCCAAGCCTTGAGAGGAAGGTTGATAGTACATGGATCTTTTCATTTGCAAGGATGGGGAAGAAAGGAAAAAGAGAATTTAAAGGTAATAGAATAAAGTTGGAGAACTTGTTCAAATGACAATTACATTGTCTGCTTTTAAATCATGTATTTTATTTATTTGTTTTGCCATATTTTGTTATTTCGTACCAACTAATTGCCAGACACTGTGCTGGGCTCTCGGTGTACAAAAGTACAGAGAACCCAGATCCAGGGCCTTCCATTTGCATGGAGAGGAGGTTGTAATAGACATATGAACACATAGGTATAGCAAGTGTAGAAATTGAAGTGTGACAAGATATTTGTCAGGCAAGAGGAAGGCACTGACGGTGGCCCAGAATTCTGTCACAGAGGAGGAGACATTTGTCTTGAATTTTGAAAGGTGGAAAATGGTTAATCAGCATTAGCGGGGAGGGATCTGGGCAGAAAAGGAAAGATTAGAGTGTGCTCAGCCTCTTTGGGAATTGATAAGTGGTTTGCACAACCGAAAAGCAAGGTGTGAGGGGAGGACCTATGAGATTCAATGGTGGGCATGTAGACAAGGGTCCTAGGAGCCAGACAAAGACATTTAGAGTTCACACTTCAGGAATCAATGACCATGACAATGATGTGACGAGGTCACAGAAACCAGCAGAGAACATAGTTTTTTTTTAAAAAGTTGCCTGGATGCAGCGGCCCCTGCCTGTAAGCTTAGTAATTTGGGAGGCCAAGGATGGAGGATAGCTTGAGTCCAGGAGTTCAAGACCAGCCTGAGCAACATAGCAAAATCCCATCTCTACACAAAATTTAAAAAATTAGTCCAGTGTGGTTGCACGTGGCTGTAGTTCCAGCTGCTCAGGAGGCTGAGGCAGGAGGATCACTTGAGCCTGAGAGATTGAGACTGCAGTGAGCCATGATTGCACCACCCCATCCCTGCCTGGGCAACAGAGTGAGACTGTCTCAGAACAAAAAATATCGTTAACATTTGTTTTGATTGACAAATCATAACTGTATACGTTTGTGGGATACAATGTGATATTTTGATAATTGTATACAAGATGAAATAATTAGATCAAGCTAACATATTCATCGCCTTGCTTACCTGTTCTCTTTCATGGTGAGACAATTGAAATTTATGCTCTTAGTTATTCTGAAATATATGACACATCATTACTGACTACAGTACCTTGCTATGCAATGGATCACCAACCCTCTGTCTATCTGAAACTTTGTTCTCTTTGATCATCAACTCCTCACTCCCTGTCTTCCTGCACCCCGCACCTGTCAGCCTCTGGTAACCATCATTCTACTTCCTGCTTCTATGAGTTCAACCTTATTAGATTTCACATGCCAGTGAGATCATGGGGTATTTGTCTTTCTGCGCCTACCTTATTTCTCTCAGCATAAAGTCCTCCAGATTCATCCATGTTGTCACAAATGACAGGATTTCCTTCTTTTGAAAGGCTGAATAGTATGCCATTGTATATATACCACATTTATCCATTCATCCACGGATGGACACTTAGGTTGATTCCACATCTTGGCTGTTATGAATAGGGCTGCAATAACTATGGATGTGCAGACGTCTCTTGGACCTACCTTCGGTTCCTTTGGATACACACCCAGAAGCGAGATTACTGCATCATTTACTGGTTCTATATTCAGTTTTTTGAGGAACCTCCATGTCATTTTCCACAATGGCTGTAGTAATTTACATTTCCACTACGCATAAGAGTTCCCTTTCCTCTGCATCCTCTCCAACATTTATTTTTCATGTTTTTGATGATAGTCATTCCAACAGGGGTGAGGTGATAACTCATTGTGGTTTTTATTTGCATTTCTCTAATAATTAGAGATGCTGAGCATTTTTCCATGTACCAACTAGCTACTTGTAAATCTTCTTTTGAGGACTTTGCGTCCTTTGCCCATTTTAACATCATCTAATTATTTGTTTTCTTGCTATTGAGTTGAGTTTCTTTTATATTTTGGACATTAGCTGCTTATTTGATGTATGATTTGCAAATGTTTTACTCCATTTTGTGGGTTGTCTCTTCTCTCTGCTGATTGTTTCCATTGCTGTGCAGAAGCTTTTGAGTTTGAAGCCATTTTATTTGTGTGTTTTTGCTTTTATTGCCTGTGCTTTCAGGGTCTTATCCAAAAAAAATTATTGTCCACACCAACGTTATAGAACTTTCCCTTATGTTTTCTTCTAGTCATTTTAGAATTTCAGTTTTTATATTTAAGTCTTTTATCCATTTTTAAAATTTTATTTATTTATTTAGAGACAGGGTCTCACTCTGCCACCCAGGCTGGAGTGCAGTGGTGTGATCTCGGCTCACTGCAACCTCCGCCTCCTGGGTTCAAGTGATTCTCATGGCTCAGCCTCCTGAGTAGCTGGGATTACAAGCACCTGCCACCACGCCCGGATAAGTTTTCTATTTTTAGTAGAGATGGGGTTTCACCATGTTGCCCAGGCTGGTCTCAAACTCCTGACCTCAGGTGATGTACCTGTTTCAGCCTTCCAAATTGCTGCTATTACAGGCATGAGCCACCACACCAGGCCAAATCTTTTATCCATTTTAAGTGGATTTTTGTGTATGTCATAAGATAAGGGTCTAATTTCATTATTTCACATGTGGATATGCAGTTTTTCCAACATCATTTGTTGGAGAGACTCTCCTTTCCCCATTGTGTGTTCTTGGCACCCTCATCAAAAATCAGTTGACCATAAATGTGGGGGATTATTTCTGGGTGTTCCATCCTGTTCCATTGATTGATTTGTCTGTTTTTTATGCCAATTCTAGGGTGTACTAATTGCAACTGCTAAAAGAGTTTAAAATGAGGGAGTGTGATGCCTCCAGCTGTGTTCTTTTCCTTCATGATTGTTTTGGCTATTTAAGGTCTTTTGTAGTTCCATATGAATTTAAGGATTGTGTTTTCTATTTCTGTAAGAAATGACCTTGAATATTTGATAAGGGCTGGACTGAATCTATAGAACATATTGGGTAGTTTGTACATTTTCACAACATTATTTCTTCTACCCATAAACATGGAAAATATTTCTATTTATTTGTGTTTTCATCATTTTCTTTCATCAGCATTTTATAGTTTTCAGTATGCAGGTCTTTTACCTCCTGGGTTAAATTAATACCTAAGTATTTATTTATTTTGTTGCTATTGTAAATGGGATTTTTTTTGAAATTTACTTTTTAAATATTTGTTATTAGTATATAGAACGCTACTGATTTTTGTACGTTGATTTTATATCCTGAAATCTTAATTTGTTTATATGTCCTAACAGTTTTTTTGTGGAGCCTTTAGGGCGTTCTATATAAAAGATCAATTTGTCCGCAAATAGAGACATTTCACTTCTTCCCTCAATTAGAATGCCTTTTGTTTCTTTCTCTTGCTAAGACTTCTAGTGCTATGTTGAGTAGGAGTGGTGAGAGTGGGCATCCTTCTCCCTGATCCTAGGAGAAACGCTTTCGACTTTCCACCATTGAGAATGACGTTAGCTATGGGTGTGGCATGGGCGTCTCTCCTGTGCTGAGGCAGCTCCCTCTATGCTGGATCTGCGAGGGTTTGCTATTCTGAAGGGCGTTGAAGCACGCTGGGGGCTGAGCCTGGAGCACCTGTGGGGGTGCTTCCTGTGGCGTGGTGCCTCTGGCTAGTTTCTCTGATGTGCCACCTCCATGGGCCAGGCCCGATCTGTGCCCTGTTTGCTGTGAGCCCCACCTGTTTTTGTTTCTGACTGGCCCTGTGGGCACTCCCAATGTTTCCCGTGGGACAAGACAGGCGTGAGCTCCTGCAAAGGGGCCCAGAATGGTGGGGAAGCATTTCCCGTGGGACAAGACAGGAGTGAGCTCCTGCAAAGGGGCCCAGAATGGCGGGGGAGCATTTTCCGTGGGACAAGACAGGCGTGAGCTCCTGCAAAGGGGCCCAGAATGGTGGGGAAGCATTTCCCGTGGGACAAGACAGGAGTGAGCTCCTGCAAAGGGGCCCAGAATGGTGGGGAAGCGTTTCCCGTGGGACAAGACAGGCGTGAGCTCCTGCAAAGGGGCCCAGAATGGTGGGGAAGCATTTCCCGTGGGACAAGACAGGTGTGAGCTCCGGCAAAGGGGCCCAGAATGGTGGGGAAGCGTTTCCCGTGGGACAAGACAGGGGTGAGCTCCTGCAAAGGGGCCCAGAATGGTGGGGAAGCATTTCCCGTGGGACAACACAAGTGTGAGCTCCTGCAAAGGGGCCCAGAATGGTGGGGAAGCAGAACTTCTGCCTCCAACTCACTTTCTCACTGTGCTACTGCGGATCCAGAGGAATCTCTGCATGTGAGGCTCTGCCAGGTTGGGGAGGAGTGTGCGCTCAACATCTCTCTCCACTTTTTACCATTGCAACAGCTTTTCTTAGCTCTGGGGTCCAGGAGTGTGTCTCAGCCTTAGTCCTGAGTTCTGGGACATGCACGATGGTATTCTTGCCTGTGGAGAGCTGCTAGTTGAATTTCTGTGGTGGTGAGTGATGTCAGTGAAGTCCCATTCTGGTTTCTCTCTGATGTCACACTGAGAGCAGTCTTGGTGAGAAGATTATCTTTGTGTAAAAGCAAAGAACAGAGGAGAGAACCTGCATTTCTCCTCTGCAGTATCTGCTGCGTTTTTCTGTAGAATTGGGTGTGCCATTTGCAAGAGCTGTGTGTGTGCAGCAGAGAAGGCAGCCAACCAATCCTTGCTGTTCAGCGTGAGTTGGGAGGGAGAAAGCGCAAACCACTAAGTGTAGACAACACGCAGGGAGTTCAGTTGGGAAGTTTAGAGAGTGGTGTCCAAAGCAGACTTGCTCCCTCAGCACTATGGGCAGGTTGGGCCACACAATTCTTTGTTGTTGGGGAGGGAAGGCTGTCTTGTGCCTTGTAGGAGGTTTGGCAGCATCCCTGGCCTGGACACCCCATGACAGTGGCAACCCCTCCCCTAGCGGTGACAAACGTAAAGGTCTCCAGATGTTGCTAAATGTCCTCTGGTGGGGGTGGGAAGGGCATTGCCCTGTGTGAGGACCGCTGGTAGAGACTGATGCAGGGTTCAGAAAAGAGATTTTTCTTTTTCAGTTGGGACATACATGATCAGTCTTGGGGAAGGAAGCAGAAGCAATGGTGGAATAGGACAAAGATAAAGGAAAGAGGTGGAAAGTGATGCACAAAGACCGCCATGACCCGGTGTGGGGCGATATGAGTGAGGACAGCATCCAGTGAAGAGGTCCTGGCTCCTGACTGCGATTTGGTGGCTCTACTGTACCCTGTGCAAAGGGTATAAGTTGGTGCTTATTTTCTCTCCATGTGGTCAGAAGTCTCATCTTCAAAGTGCTTAAACTGTAGCCCTTGCCCTGTCACCTCTGGTTACTGCTGGGACCTGGGTCACACTCCTGGTTCATCTGCTGGCCCCAGGCCGGGTGAGGCTCCCACGTGCCTGCTGGCCTGAGAAAGGCTTACGTGAGTCACAGGGGCTACTAGGGGCAGAGAGAAGGGAACAGGATGGAGAAATTAAGTGAGGAATAAGATTGTACAAAGCCAGGAAGAAGCCGAAAGGGGACTTGGCTCTGGCAGCATTTTGTTTTGCGTGAGTCTGTGCTGGAATAAGCTGTCGAAAGGTTGTCTACCCATTGCCTTCTGGTACCTTGTGCTGTGCTCATTGTTGGCAAAACACTTGAATGATTGTGGCCTAAATGTGCAGTGATAAAATACAGAACATAGCTTTGTTATTTTTCCAACCAGACTAGGAGAGTGGCTTTTGGAATCAAGATTTAAAATTCATGATTTGCTTGTGTTTTGGCTTGTATTTTGGCTTGTGCTTGAAATGACAAGAAAGATCAAGGGTTTAAATGTGATCTTGAGAAGACATGAGAGAGAGAATTGATATTTTCCTATCTAATATTTATATTACTTTCCTGTATAGAGTAGGCTAAGGATTTTATTTGGACGCTAATTATATGTAATTCCTATAGCAGTTATTTTGATTAAGCCAACTAGATTTACCTCTAATTATTCATTTTAAGCCCTAGATTTAAAGATAACTTTTTATTCTCTGTAAACAACCTAAAAGTTGCCTTAGATTTATATTTCATAATATGTAAAAATGCTGAAAAAGGGCTTGTTTGGCTGGAGAGACATTTTAATTTTTTCCTTTAATTTTAAATGACAATATTGTGTGTATAGGAGCTGCGTTTCCTACCGAATATTCACCTGGTGTGGAGACTGAATAACATGCCACTCTAAGGGTTAATAAAAGCATTAAATAACTTGCATCTGGGAAACATCAATTGAACAGATAATTGCTTCTTTGTGTTTCTGCTTAGTAGTGGCTGGACATGTAAAGTTTCTATACCACAAAATGAAAACAGTTGAGCAAACAAGAGGCCCGGGGTCACATAACCGATGCATGCTCAAAGCTCAAAGCAGCGTCAATCAAACCTGGAGGGTACCATGTCAAGAGATGGTATCTTTTTATTAATCAGGAATTGGTACCCGGACGATAGAGGGCCTCTGTAATGAAAACCTCAGTTAGCAAACAGCCAGAAGAGAGAGAAAATAATCCAACCAGCCAAATAATCAAAGAACACATGAAGTGTCTGTAGGGAGATTTCCACAGTGGGAAACCCATAGAAAAAGTTCTATCTCTCACTCTTGTTTTTGTTTTTTGGTTTTGGATACAATTTCATTTAAGTAGAAAGATCATCCATGATTTTCCCAATCTTCCTTATGTCTTTTATGCACTATACTTGCCAAAGTAGCATAGACAGAAAAAAAGCAGGAATCCTATGGATTTCCACCCTTAGTCCTTCAACTAACTTTAAAATAACTTTTTATTTTTTTATTCAGGTCTACGTTCTAAGTCACACTCCCCTCCCACATGTCTTTGCCCGCTATTTTACTTCATTAATATTTACCAGCTTTTCTGAATTTAGGCACCAATTTTGTATTTTCATATATTTCTATGCATATCCTTCAGATCCTTATTTTCCTCAATATTCATGTAAAATATATAAACTATAATTTCTGTGTTCTTTTAAGAGATAGCAGGTACCTAAACAAAGGGGTGTTCTCCCATGATTTTTTTAACTCAGCATTTTTTGCCAGAAATGGTCATTTGGGATTTATTCCTATGCCCTTGTGTTTTTCCCTCCCCCTCCCCTTTCCCTCCCTTCCCTCCCTTTATCTTTTTCTCTCTCCCTTCCTCCTGCCCACCCACCCTACATTTTTCCCTCTGTCCCTCCCTTCTTGCTCCCTCCCTCTCTTTCTTCCTTCCTCCCTCCCACCCTCCTTTCCTTCTTTTCCTCTCTTTCTTTGTCCTTTCTTCTCTTCCCTCCTCCTTTCCACCCTTTTCCTTTCACCAATATTTATTGAGTGCTTATTGCATAAGAGACTTTGAGTGTCCAGTGCTGGCTTGTGGCAGGACAAGCTGCAGACAAAACCCCTCAGACACCAAGTTGTAGAAGGAAGGGCTTTATTCGGCTGGGAGCGTTGGCAAGACTCACGTCTCCAACAACCGACCTCCCCGAATGAGCAATTCCTGTCCCTTTTAAGGGCTCACAACTCTAAGGGGGTCTGCGTGAGAGGATCGTGATTGACTGAGCAAGCTGAGGGTTCATGACTGGGGGCTGCATGCACTGGTAGTTAGAACAGAGAAGAACAGGACAGGGATTTTCACAGTGCTGTTCCATACAATGTCTGTAATCTACAATTAACCTGACTGATTAGGTCAGGGGTCGATCTTTAACTACCAGGCCCAGTGTGTGGCACTGGGCTGTCTGCCTGTGGATTTCATTTCTGCCTTTTAGTTTTTACTTCTTATTTCTTTGGAGGCAGAAATTGCGCATAAGACAATATGAGGAGTGGTCTCCTCCCGTAGCTAAGGACTCTGACCCCTCCTTCTGTGGGACTCCATGTATTCTTTCTCATTGGGAACACTGGGAATAGCAGGGCCCAGTTGAGTTTGGAGAGTGTCGCTTAGTGCTCTTTAGTTGCAACCATCTGAAAATAACATGAAAAGAAAGGGGAATTTCCTGAAAAATGTTGGTGGTAGCAATGAGAGCAAGGCTCAAAGAATAAACTGGAAGCTGAGAAACTAGGCTTGGAAATAGAAATCAAAGGGACTGGGGAAGCAAGGACCCTGCATTCGTCTCTAGGCAGGAAGGGTTCACTCAGCGCACTGGTGCTGTGATAAATATCACGTGCCTCTGCTGTTCTCTCATCACGGATCAAGAGTCCAAGCCTGGAGGGAGAGCGACTGAAAGCCATGGGCTGGTCACAGGCCTGCCTGAGAGCTGCACGGGAGCCGGCGAGGAAAAGCCCTTGCTGCTTCCAGTGTAAGGCAGGTGTCTGGATTTATCTTCAAGAGAGCCAACATGATGAATGAAGGAACTTAAATCATGGCACGGTTAGAAAGAAAAGTAGCAAGACAGGAACTACTCCTTCTCTCCAAACAAAAAGAAAAACAAAATGAGATATTCACTATAATTAATATGAATTTGCAAGGGAAATAACACAGTATATGATCTCAGTCTCAACTTATATCTTTATTTCAACTATATCTACTTCAGAAAGGATTTGAAGGGTTTCCAATAAAAGACAAATAAAATGTTATAAATGGTAGATAAATGAAGATCAAATATGACCCTGGTAGAGGTATGATAATTTTCTCTGTCTCGTTCAAGAGCTACACTGGCTGCACCTGATATAGTAGATGCTCAATAAGTATCATTACCTTCTGCCAGGTCCCTCCCAGGACACGTGGGGATTATGGGAACTACAATTCAAGATGAGATTTGGTTAGGGACACAGCCAAACCATATCAGTATTACATTTTATTGCAACTATTGGCTCAATAGTTGCACTATGTATTTTTGTTTAAAGTTATTGCTCAAGCGTTTACCATATATATTGTTAACTTATCACAGTTTATTCTTAAGTACTATTATATCATCTCCCAAGTAATATAAAAATCTTACAGCAGTATATAAGCAGTCCTGGCTTTTCGTGGTTCTTATATGCAGGAATTTTTGTTACTGTGCTTTGATTAGATAACATGTATAATTCCTTCATGGACACAGTGCAAATTTCACTTTCCACAGTGTATTAACTACGTGTAATTTCATTCAGTAAAAATTTTGATGCTGGTTTTTAGTACAAAAATTAGTAAGTATTTAATGGACAAGCATGATGATCAGTGAGCAATCATGCTCTCTCTGTGAAAGTGTGCTGGTTATTTGTCGCTGTGTACCTGTGCATCTGTATGAATTTAGTTTAGACAGATATCAAGGTGTGTAGTTGTGTAAACTACTTGTCCTCCAGTCATAAACTCACATAATTTAACTTCTAAAGCACCATCACTGTTGGATAAGTGTCCAAGTCAACTTTATTCATTTGGATACTTCCATGAAAATGTTAAAAAGCTGCTTTTTACTAACAAATACAACTTTAATCGTCCAGCTAGTGGACCAAGGAGTTATTTCAATGTTTAAAGCCTACTGTCTTAGACAAACTTTTCAACAGACTTCTGAAGCTACAACTGGAGATCATGCAATTTTTAGGCTAAGTTTTGAAAGATATATTACTTAAAAATGCAGTTGAAATACTTAAGCATCATGGCAGCAAAGAAAGTGAGTAATATGTGCGTGCAGTACAGCAGAAACTTGTATTGCTCTGTGAAAATAACATGCAGGATACCAACAGAATGCAAGTGGAGCTATTGGCTCATTTTGCTCCTGCTTGTGCAGAACTTTTCATGTCAGGCCATCTCCTGGGCTACTGGTGAGTTTATGGATCGGCCCAGCTGTAGTCTATCCTGTTGTTCCTGAAGTGGGGTGGAGGTCAGCCAGCAGCCTGCAAAAATGTTAGAAAATAAGAGTCAAGCAGGACTTCTGATGCCCCCAGATCATGTTATTGTTATGATCAGCCATCCACAGCAAGTTTCTTATTTGAATTATATCCGATGATAGCGATGGATCTACGTTGCTGTTTGCCTCTTGTAACCCACAGAGTGAGAATGCAAAATCCAGGGTTAGGAGTGCAGTCAGTGGCAGTGTGACTAGGTGTTTCTCTGTAGGATACTAAGAAAAATACAGCCCAGGAAACTGTTAGTGCTTTCATTTTGTTTCACTATAGGTCTGCCTGGATGATCAAAACAGATGGGAAGGAGCCATGGTGGGGCAATGATCCTCTTCTGTTGCCTCCTGGAGATTCAAGCATTATATATGGAGAGCTATCATCTCTACCCCTCCTCCCGGTTTACTCTCATGGTGAGGTCAGGTAGAGTTTAGCAGGTATGTTCATGTGAATATCGTCTGTGTTTGTGAATAGGCTCGTATTTCAGTTGCAAGCAACATGATAACTTTAAAGTTCAGTTGCTGGTTAATAACTGTCTTTTTTATTAAGTTGATACTGAACTTGATGTCTTTTTGCAGCACTAACAGAGATTACTGGTGCTACCTTTTAGCTTTTGATCATTTATGCAAGCCTAGATCTTTAGCTTTACGTTGCAAAAGGGGTATTTTTTTCAACATTTTTTTGGTGAGAGTATTAAAGTTGACATTATTATGATCACAAGTGTAAACAGGTATATAAGGAAGTGGCGATACATTGTTAAGACTGCTGTTATTCATGATGCTTAGCCAAATGAAGGTGCAATTAATACTGCCATGTAGAACTGGAATAACATCAGCTCAGGAACAGCAAGTTTAGATAGTTTGACTGTAGTGAATTTTCATGAATGGAATAGTTAATCATTTTAGTGGATCTTGGGGGTCAATTCAGGCTGTTTTACTTGATCCACTTCTTATCATTATCCTTACAAAGTCTTCTGAGATAACACAGCACTGATAGTTGCTAACAGACTTTATATCTACCGCGTTATTAGCATTTTATCTTGATACACTGATAAAATAAGCTTCAGGAATACTTAAAAGATTGCAATGGCTTCCAGCTGCCAAATGCTAGATTTAATTATTTTTAGGACCAACATGAGGGTTTAGACACACCACTTGTGGTGCAGCACACATGTATTATCCAAACTGAAATTAGCAATTCAACTGAAGTCCATGTAGAGTCGAAAAATGTGAATATTTGGAGATGATTTGGCTCACTTTATTTTGTAGAAAAGAAAACAGATTCAGGGAAAGGGCATGCATTGCCTAAGGTGATTCAGCAGGTTTGGAGCAGAAACGCAATACAATCTCTGTTCTTTTGCTGCTCAGATCCAGAATTTTTTCACAATACTGAACTACTTATGTTTCTGATTCCTTATTTTTTCTGTTTTATATTTTGCCAATATTGTCTTACCAAGATCCTATTCTTTACCCCAAATATTTAAATTCATTACCACTATTGTCTCTTTATAAGTAAAAGTACTAGTTGTTATTATAAATGATTATTCGATCACTTTTCATTTTTTGGGGGGTCCAGTACAAAGTTAGTAACAAATAAACATTATAGGCCTTGGCAATCCAAGGGGAGCTCAAGTCCTCCAGGGCACGTCAGGAAAAGCCTAAATGACAGCTGAGCTTCGAGTGGACAGAATACAGCTCTCATACGGACTGTTGAGTATTTGATATTCTTCAACAGTTTCATTCATCTTCAGTTTTTTCGTCTTTGAAGTGATGGATTTAGTCCTTGCTATACTCGACTTTCAAGTTTCTTTTGAAATAATTATAGATTCACAGGAAGTTGCAAAAGGTGCAGGGATGTCTTAGGTACTCTTCACTAATTCTCCCAGCGGTGACATCTCGCATAGCCATAGAGCATATCAAAACCTGGAAACTGACATAGGTGCAATTCAGAAAGCTTGCTCAGATCACAACCATTTTGTACACATTTGTTTTTGTATGTATTTGTGTGTGTGTGTGTGTGCATGTGTTCTGTGCATTTTTATCTCGTGTAGATCTCTGTAACTACAACCTCGACCGTCAAGATACAGAACTGTAGCCTCACCACCAGGCTCCAACTTGCAATCTTTGTGGACACTCTGACACATTTTCCTCCACCCGTTCCCCTTGGCAACCCCATAGTCTGTTCTCCATCTTTACAATTTTATTTCTATAATTTATATAAATGTAATTGTACAAAATCTTATTTTTGAAGGGAAGAAACAAGTCACAGATATTTTTGTTCTCACTGCAAAATAATCTTTAACACTCATTTATTTTATGTTCTATTTGTCTCAAAAAATGTGCCTTGTTCTTTCCCATATTTTCTGATATCAGGATAGGAAATCAATAGCAAACAAAACATAATTCTATTCATTTTTTTCCCACAGCTTGTTTTTCACTGCTGTTTCCTAACGCTTATTGTTCCATTTACTCTTTCTCTCTGTTTTCCATCACATAAAAGTAACTTTGTGTTCTTTATCTCTTCTAAGAAAACTTGGTAATGAGTCTTTAATGTGAAGCCCGGACCACCCTTGTTTTGATTTTGTGTTATGGGTGTTCTTTTGTGTGATCGCTTTCATGGAGAGTCCTTGTGAAGCTGGGCTTTTCCAATGGTTTGTCAAAATGGAAATAGATATTTAACAAACCAAACACAAAATGACCTTGCTCCAGGAATGCATCATTTCTGAGAAAACACTACCTCTTCCAACTAGAGATTGTGAATATTACTCATATTATCCTTTACTCCCTTTTATTAAAACTGTATTTTTTTTACACATTTGTATAACTCGGGTAATGAAATGTGAAACTAAGTGATTGCCTACCAATTACAATTGATATTAATGATGCTAGTGGGAGGCCACCTCTACAGTGGCTGCGCCATGTCTAGGGACTTGCTAGCTTTGCTAAGTTACATAGGATTGCCTACGTACTAAATGCAAACTTACTCATGCACATAGGAAACCATTTGTATTAATATGATTAAGAAGCCCTGCCTAACCCTGATGAAAAATTACTTGAAAATAACAGAAGAGAGTCCTTATTTTAAAGTACATTAACTATTGGGAGTAATTACTATCAGTCCAAACATAACTGGATCTAATGAGACTGAACAGAAACAAATTAGACATAATTGGAAGCTAAGCAAAAGTCAATTAAACTCCTATAATTTTACCTTTATAAAAATTATTGAATTAAATGACCTGGATCAATTAGCAGAGGAAATAAAGCCATGAAGAATATTTCCGGGAAACTATTACCTTTTTTGAGGGAAAAATATTGTTTCACTTAATGATTAGAATTTAGTAAAATGTAGCTTAATGAATTTTGCTGCCTTAGCAGTTTAATAACTTCAAATGAAGTAATTATGCAAATTTTTTGATAGCTTGACCTACCAAGTAATGCAGGAGTTGTTTTAGGGAATCCAGGAGTAGAATTTATTTGATAGAATAAAATAACATATTTATAAAAATCAGCAAATTCAGATGGTTTGGAATAAAGATATGATTGCTTTTACTCAATATTCACTTTAGGGCTGGGTTAGCTGTGTGGGAATTGCAGTTGACCTGTTGTAGAAATTGTGTGCTTGGAAATATATCACCACATTGCTCCATGTAGACTCCCTCTGTGATTCAAGTCTTGTTCCTACAGCACTGCTGTCAACCCTCAACCACCGTCACCCTATAGACCCCAAGTCAGTTTGTATTCAGTAATGCAAGTGGTGTTCTGTGCAACTGGTCACCCAAGAACTTGGTGCTAAGAAACTGAGAAAGTGATGACCAAGACAATCTCATCAAAACACAGCCAGGGCCAGTCACAGTATCGTAATTTCTGCTTTCTGGATGTTCAAGGAAATGTAGATCATGACTCCTTCTGTGATGCCTCATTATCTTCAAAAGGAGCTATAAGCGTACACTCATTTCCAAATGTGATGGAATAAGATTGCAGTTTCAATTAGGTCCTAAAGTATAATTAATTATATAATAGTTATAAAAATATTAATTCTGTAAGGACAGTCACAAAGGAAAGAACAGTAGCAAATAGGTCTCAGGAAATATATCAAATGAGATGTTCAGGTGTGATGCAGCTTTGTACATACTATGCTAAATACATTATGTCTGTAATTAAACCAGCTGCATACACAATGCAGGTGTGGCAAATTCTTTGCTGAAACATGTATGCCAGTTTCCTCATTTTTTAAAATGACAAGTGCATGCTTAATCAGGTTAGAGTGGATAGATTATGATATTATCAATGCACTGGACAAATCCATTAATGATACAGTGAGATTTTGTGCAGAAAAATGGAATAGAGAGGTGTGAATCCAAACTTTGAAGAATAAAGAACATACATTTGTAATTAAGAAATATCTCTCACTTTCATCCCTTATGTGCCACACATAGCACAATCCAGCCCCACCCAGCCATGACTCTTACATATATCACTCCTGACAAAGCCGGCCTGGCAATTCAGACCTGGAGCCCAGGGAAAAGAGAGGAATCCCATGATTTCTGGCAAACACTGCTGCTTCTTTTGTAGTTGTGTGAGATGAATGCCTCTACATGCACACAAGTGCCATGTTGAGGGGGATGAATCTTTCAAGATTTGTTTAAAGTCAAATAATGTGAAGGTCCATGACTGACCTCCAGGCCTCTCAGAGCTTCAGTTAACTCCTTTGTGTTAGGGGATGTTAGAAGAACGTTTACAAGTCAGAGCAGGTGATGCTCAGGAGCAAGAGTGAATGAGGAGGAGGAACCCAAACAGGTCCAGCACAGAACATTAGCATCTGAGCATCAAGTCTACCCCTGAGAAAAAGTGGTCCAAAGGTTTGTGTGGACCCCATTCTCCAGGCCTTACAAACCCTGTGATTTCTGCCTCATTCTGTCCCGTCCTGTCACTTTGAGTCTGAATTGGAAGAGAGAAAAACAGTAACTAGATCAGTAAAGTAAGGAGGAGTGAAGAGCAGGAAGGTGGAGGTCGTGATGGTGGAAGATGGAAACCTCCTCGCGTGAAATAGAACAGTTTGGATGTCAGCTGTCACTGCTCTAGATCTCCTAAAACCCACTCCATTTTTATTAAAAATATACATTGCATTTTTCCAGTGTACACGATATCATGTTAAGAGTTCATAAAGTTTTGAGGATGTGAGTAATCAGAAAGGAGGTTTAAAGAACCGATTATTTTGGTGGTCTGGCTCCTTTACCCCAGTAGGAAAAGATGCCATTTTGCTTATGCCCTGTGCTGAATTTCAGAATGCCTGTCAACCCAACACGCTTCAGCATGAACTTTAACTCAAAAAATCAAAAAGTACCAGGATCAATTTACAATCCTAGCTATATGATATTTTAGAAATTACAAAGCCTGTAAATGAGCTATTTTGTCAACTTCATAGATGAGAAATCTAAGAGTGGGTTAGTCAGTTCTCTTAGATTTCTCATATCCATAAAGTGGATAGAACATCTAATTTAGAGGCTTGTTGAAGGATAGACAGAAATGGCATTTACAAAGTATCTAGTGAAACTACTGGTAGGGATTATATGCTCAGTAAATGATGAGCACTATAATCACAAATAATTTGATCTTTGAAAGTGTAAAATGTATTTGTCTGTCCGCTTGGTTTTTCTCGGAGGCATAGTTTCCCTCTGTCACTCAGGCTGGAGTGCAGTGCTGTGCTCACTGCAGCCTCTGCCTCTCAGGTTCAAGTGATTCTCCTGCCTCAGCTGGGATTACAGGAGCCCGCCACCATGGCCCAACTAATTTTTGAGTTTTTACTAGAGATGGGGTTTCACCATGTTACCCAGGATGGCCTTGAACCTTGGCCTCAAGTGATCCATCCACCTTGGCCTCCGAAAGTGCTGGGATTACAGGCATGAGCCACTGTGCCCGGCCACATTTATTTTAATTCAGAGAACAATTTTTCAGTAAGGTTGTACAAATGATTGTCCTACATTCCTGCATGTTTGAAACTCTTTTTCTCTTTTTGTCTCCATATGTGAATGACAGTTTGGCTAGGTATAGAATGCTTGGTTTACACTTTTTATTGTTCATAAATCTATAGTCTTATCTTTGTTCCCATCCTCTATACCAGCTTGAGTAGGATTAGAGTGTGGGATTCACCTATAAAACTCTATACCCATTGAACAAGTCCTCTTTTCCCCCTCCGCTAGTCCCTGGCATCTGCCATTTTACGTCTCTGTTTCTAAGAGTTTGACTACTTTAAAAACCTCATATAAGAAGGATCATGCAGCACTGTGTTTGTATTTTTGTGACTGGTTTATTTCACTTAGTATAGTATCCCCAAGGTTTATCTATGTTATGACATATGAAAGGATTTCCTTTTTTTTTAAGGCTGAATAATAATTTATTGTGTATATACCACTTTTTAAAATCCATTCATCTCTTGACAGATATTTAGGTTGCTTTTACCTCTTGGCTATTATGAATAATGCTGCAATGAACATGAGATGAACAAGCTCCTTTTTTATCTCTTTACTTTTGTTAGAAGCTTTTAATTCCTGATTAATGAGTTCTGAACGTATGCAGAGGTCTCTACCTGGCAGTGACCTAAAGCCTTGTCTTCTGCCACCCCACTCAGCCTTCAGATTCACGTCTCTAGATTCTTGAGGTTGGGAAATGTTTCCCTAGCAGCCATGGTTTTGCATTCATTGGCCATTCAGGTTTTCTGCTTTGCCATCTTCCCCCGGGGGTTTCCTTATCCTCCTGGAAGCACAACTAGGCATTTAAGTCCATGTTGACTGTATTTTACCTGCTATTTCTATGTGTTTTGCAATAAGGGCTTTTCAAGATACCCATAACTTGTGGCTAAAAATGAGGTTTGTTCCAATGTGCCTTAGAAATATCCAGTTTCATACTTACCTGGCAGGGCAGATACCATGATCTTAAAGGCAGTTTTCCCAGGGCAAGGCTTATCCATTCCACTCTGGATCCATCATAGGGATATGCTGATCCCTGGAATTGCCCCAAATGTGGGAAGCTCTACTGCAAAATTTTTGGTAGTGAGCGATGGCATTATGCATTCATGTATGAATTC